>NC_000003.12:196423565-196574564 GCF_000001405.40 Homo sapiens | reverse complement strand
CAAAATCGAGCTGAGAGTAAACCACCTTGTTTCCTCAACAAATAAGGTGGGAGGTTGGGGAGATGGTGAGTGAATATGTAGACTAAAATAGCCTTAAGAGACATATCAACCTTTGCCATGGGACCCTTATATAGATCTTGATTATATAAAATATAACTTTAAAATGCAACATTTAACATTTATGAGACAACTGGCAATTTGAACACTGCATTTTTGATATTAAGGAATTAATGTACATTTATATTTAGATGTGATAACCATATTGTGATTACATTAAGTGTCTTTACTTTTTAGAAACAGATACTGGAAACTTCATATGAAATGGGAAAATAGGCCGGGCATGGTGGCTCACACCTATAATCCCAGCACTTCAGGAGGCCGAGGCAGGCGGATCACGAGGTCAAGAAATCGAGACCGTCCTGGCCAACATGGTGAAAGCCTGTCTCTACTAAAAATACAAAAATTAGCTGGACGTAGTGGCAGGCTCCTGTAATCCAAGCTACTTGGGAGGCTGAGGCAGAATCACTTGAACCCAGGAAGCAGAGGTTGCAGTGAGCTGAAATTGTGCCACTGCGCTCCAGCCTGGGCAACAGAGCAAGACTCTGTCTCAAAAAAAAAAAAAAAAAGGAAAATAAAGACCAAATTAATAAATTAAAAACAACCCATAGCCTCACATTCCCATGCACAACCTGAATTTTGTTATGGCAAAAGCAGCATGAAGACCTAGCTTAAAATCTAAGTCTGAACTTTAGAGAATTCTCATCAGATGCCAAGTATGACTTAAATAATTAATGCTACGGGGTGATATGTAAAATATGAACTTAAAAAAAAAACAACTGAACAGATTAATAAACTCCACTTTCCTGTTCTATGCTATCCCTAAACCTTTTCCTATCATTCTCTGTTATCCAGGCTCCTGGGAAAATCCATTTGACACATCCATCTTCCTCATCCCATTCACCCAGTCAGCTGTCTACCTATGTATATTGTTTTCTACGACAGCTCTCCAGCCATCCCCTTCTCTCCTCGATGTACCTGTTCCAGTCTTAAGTATCTCTGGTATAGGCACTAACCGCTGCCCTCTCCAACTCATCTATGGCCTAGTCTTTTTGAAGTAGAGCCTTTGTCACTCTGCTGTTCAAACTTCTATGGTTTACAACTGTAGTACAAAACCCAAACTATAGACTGAAGGCTATATTTCAAAGCCCTCCATGATATATCTAGTCCCATAATATAGCTTTATAATATTTCCCACTACTTCCTTTCATTCAATCTAACTATATTATTTTATATCTTTAGCGCAGATCTCTCCTCTAAGCTCCAACCTCCAACAGCTGCCTATTGGAAATCTCTGTCTCAAAAATACTGTAAATGCTGCTCTCCCAAAACTGAACTCACTGCCATTTCTTCGAAACCTAGCCCACCAGCCTGGGCAACATAATGAGACATCTCTACAAAAAAAAATAATAATAAAAATTAGCTGGGCATGGTGGCACATGCCTGTAGTCCCAGCCACACAGAAGGCTGAAGTGGGAGGATCGCTTGAGCCCAGGAGTTCAAGGCTGCAGTGAGCTATGATCATTCCACTGCACTCCAGCCAGGGCAACAGAGCAAGACCTCATCTCAAAAAAAAAATCTAGATCAACTGATCTCTACATTATGTGAGCCAAATACTAGGAGTCATCCTTACCACTTCCCTCTTCCTCATCCCTATTTCAAATCTATTGCCAATTCTATAGATTTTACTTACTAAATCTGCCCATTTCTATCTCCTCCACTACCTATTTCCTAATTGATCTACCATATTTCTAAGGTCCTCTTCCAACCAACAATTTAGTTCTCCATACTAAAGTCAGAAATAATCTCTTAAAATGCAAAATAATCATATCACCAATCCCCACACCTCAAATCCTTCTTGCTTACAACTCAAAATGGCTTCCCTACGCTTTGGTCCCAGTCCACTTCTTCCATCTTATCTCAAACCAGCATCACCTTTGCTCTCTGTGCTCCAGCCACATTGACATATTTTCCATCCCTCACACTCATAAGGTTCCCTCCTGGAAGGCTGTTCTCTCTCCCCTTTGCCTACTTATCATCCTTCAGGTCTCAGTACATGGATCTGAGAAAGCCTTCCCTCACCTCTCCACCAGGTTAAATCCTCCACTACTGACAATCAGAGCACTAGGTATTTTTCCTTCATACTACTTACCAGATGCGGTTTTACATCTGTGTGATTATTTGATTAATATCCATTTCCCCTACTAGACTGTAAGCTCCATAAGGCAAGACATCCATTAAGAGACTGTGTTTGTTTTATTTGCCATTGCATCTGCAAATGAGCATAGTGCCTGGCACTCATTTTTTTAAATAAAAATATATGTTGTACAAACCCTTTACTTTCCTCTTGTCCTGCTTCTGCTCAGAGTACTTCCTCTTCCTAAAATACTAAACTCCTCCTCATCTTTAAAATTCAGCTCAAATATAAGCTCAACCTCAAATCTCCTCCAATCCTCCACTCAGTTTGTAAATTCCTCCTTTCACTGAACTTCTAGTATACTTTTTTATGTCTGTAACAGTAAGGAGCAATTTCTACCACACATTAGCAGTTCTTTCTATACATTTTTCTCTCCTCTACTAGACTGAAAGATTTCCTACTAGACTATTTGACTCCTTTTGAATTAATCTTTTATCCTCAAAATATTCAAGGGAAGTCCTACAATGTGTGAATGAACAGTGATTGGTACAAGTCTACAACATCTATAATGCACATAGCAGAAAAGCAAAGTATTAAAAACCTCAGAAACCTAAAATATCTCTGGAAGGATACAAAAGAAAAAGTAAGACAGGTTGCATACATGGAGAGGAACCGGGTAGCTGAGCGACAAGGATGAAAGGAAAACATTTTGCTTGATATCATTTTGCTTCTATTGAAGCTTGACTCACACGAACACATTATCTATTACATATTATAATATGAATCTTGAATCATGTGAACATTTCTATTACAAGTCAATTATCAAAACAACAACTCCTAATTTAGGCTGGGTGCAGTGGCTAATGCCTGTAACCCCAGCACTTTGGGAGGCTGAGGCAAGAAGATCGCTTGAGTCCAGGAGTTTGAGACCAGCTTAGGCAACAAGGTGAGACCCCGTGTCTCTAAAAAATAAAAAATTAGCCAGTGTGGTGGCACATGACTGAAGTGCCAGCTACTCGGGAGGCTAAGCTAAGGAGGATCCCTTGAGCTCAGGAGGTCGAGGATGCAGTGAGCTATGATTGTGCCACTGCACTGCAGCCTGGGCGACAGAGTTTTGTTGTTTTGTTGTCTCAAAAACAACAACAAAAACTCCTAGTTTAAAATAAGTAAAAACAATAAACTTTACAGAAAAATAAAAACTAAATAAAATTTATGAAACCGACACATTTATCAAAGTAGGACAAAATTCCAATCGTCTGTACTCACCTATATAAATTACAACCAGTATCCACTGAATAGCCACCACGCACAAACAGTCCTAGTAAATTATTGTTATTTCGCTTAATAGAAAAACAACTTGAGGCCGGGCGCATGAGCTCACGCCTGTAATCCCAGCACTTTGGGAGGCCAAGGCGACGGATCACGAGGTCAGGAGATTGAGACCATGCTGGTTAACACGGTGAAACCCTGTCTCTACTGAAAGTACAAAAAATTAGCCGGGCGTGGTGGCGGGCGCCTGTAATCCCAGCTACTCAGGAGGCTGAGGCAGGAGAATGGCGTGAACCCGGGAGGCGGAGGTTGCAGTGAGCTGAGATCCCGCCACTGCACTCCAGCCTGGGTGACAGAGCGAGACTCCGTCTCAAAAAAAAAAAAAAAAAGAAAAAAGAAAAGAGAAACAACTTGATAGTTTACATATTTAATGGCAATGTTCCCTATCTTCTATAACTAAAACCGGTTTTACTACATAAGTATAAATTTTACATGCTTCACATGAAAAAAAAATTTTTACTTCTTACTCCGACCCCTGTTGGCAAGCTAGCATTAAAAAGGGGGTGTTATCGCGCGGTGGCTCACGCCTCTAATCCCAGCACTCTGGGAGGCCGAGGAGGGCGGATCACCTGAGGTCGGGAGTTCGAGGCCAGCCTAACCAACAAGAAGAAACCACAACTCTACTAAAAATACAAAATTAGCCGGGCATGGTGGCGCATGCCTGTAATCCCAGCTACTCGGGAGGCTGAGGCAAGACAATTGCTTGAACCTGGAAGGCGGAGGTTGCGGTGAGCCGAGATCACGCCATTGCACTCCGTCTCAAAAAAAAAAAAAAAGGGGGGGATGTTATCGTTTTAGTTACTAATGCATTCATTATGTTTAACACATTGCAATCAGACTTTATCTTCTCTTATATATGATCTTGATTGACTGCTATACTGAATAGCTGTTAACCATTCAACTCAACTCAAGACCAAGACCCTTTGTTTATTCGGCCTGAGAGTCCTTTCAGCCGTACCACAACTTGTTCCTTGACATTTTTATTTTGTATATGAAGGCGGGCGGAATATGCAGGAAGGATGCAGCGAAACTGTAATCAGCACGTTAGATGACAAATAGAAAAAGAGAGACACCATCAATGTGGAACTATTAAAAAGTTAGCAAGGAAACAGCCAATAACAGCAGGACAAAGCAGTATGTTAGGTGGTGCCCGTGGACGTTCTATAAAAGCCTGTATCTTGTAAGTGAGCAGGATGACTAGAACTACACTCACTTGTAAGCCTCCAATATAGTGGAGGGAACTAAAGAGAACTTGGGGGAAAATAATGAAAACAAATGGTTAAAAATCAGAGCTTGGAAAAGATGAGATAAACGTGGAGTGAAAGCAAACTAGAAACTTAGAAACTTAGAAACTAAGCCCATGTTAAGGTGGCCGGGATTATTTAATATAATGAAGTCTATCTGGAGGCCGGGGAGAAAAGTAGGATGAGGGCATTAAAAGGTACAAGAGTGGTGGTCTGTCTTTAACGGGGAAAACTGTCAAAAGTTGAATGAGTGAGGCAAACTACCTAGTTGTTTGAAAAGTGGATCACGGAAGTGGGATGGGTTAAGGAGCAGAACTTCGATCCAAAGAAAAGAGAATCTTTATCTTGGGGGGAGGTGAGGAAGATACTGACTGGAGCCGTGGAAAGGCGGGCTGGTGAGGCGAAGCTTCTGACTCAGAAGCTCGGATGAGAAACACCGCGAACGACGCCGGGGAGCGGGACTGGGGGCAGCGGTGTGGCCCGGGGCTCTCTCACCTTGGCCTTGTAGCTGGGCAGGTTGCACAGGATGTCCGTGCGCAGAGCCTCTTCTGCCAGGCTGCGGGCGCACAGGCTCCGCCACACCTCGCTGTTCTCATCGCCGTGCAGGCAGCGGTACCAGTGCTTGCACACCAGGGCGCAGCTCCGCAGCTCGGACAGCTCCAGGTAAGAGAACACCAACTCCAGCACCCGGCTGGGCAGCCGGCCCCCGGCCCCCGCGGCCCCAGAGCCCGAGCCCGCGCCCGCGCCCGCGCCGCCGCCGCTACAGCCAGCGCCGCCCGAGGCTGCCCCAGCCCCCGGGGCCGGCGCCGCCATCGCCTCACCAGCCGGCCCTAGGGCCGCCGCTGCCGCCGCCGCTTCCCGCCGTCTCTGCTCGGAAGGCCAAGCCTCGCCCGGAGACCGGAGCGGCTCGCTCACCGCCCCTGTCAGTGCCAACCGCCGGCGCCTCCACCACTCCCGCCCCTGCCCGGGGGCGTCCGCCGCGCGCCCCGCCTCACTGAGGGCAGACGCACCGGCTGCAGGGGCGTCCTCCGCCCCTCCTCCGCGGCTCAGCGCGGGCGCCGAAACCGCCCGACTCGCCCGGCCTCTCCGCGGCGCGCCAGCGGCTCCGCCATGCGGGTTGAGGGCACGAAGCAAGGGCGCACGCCCAGCTCGTTCGCGGTTCCTCTCGGCCCCGGATGTGACTGTTTGGCTGCGCCGCCTCACGCCTGACGCTCGACGGGATTGGGCGCCGGCGGGTGAGGTTATCACTAGGCGCCGAGGAGGGGAGCGGGAAGCGCAGGTATGAGGCTGGCGCCGGTGGCTTCGATGCTGCTTTCCGGTGACTTCGATGCTGTTTTCCAGTGCTTTTTCCTTTTTCTGGTCTGGTGGCTCCGCGTCTGCTCTCCTGGGCTCCCTTTCCTGTGACGTTTCCCTGTGTCCGTTAGGTCCTTGCTTCAGACTCCAGCTCAACGCATGAAACTTTTCTCTCCTTGCTTGCCGGGTCCTGGCTCCCCAACCTTTTTGTGTAGCTTGGGCAGCGGAGGCCGTCTTTACCTGGTCAGGCCCTCTCGTTCTCCCTAAGTATCGGCACTTAGCGAACGTCTGTCCCTGTGTGCCTTCGCAAAGTAAGGTGGCTGCGACTGAACACCCCCTCGCCCAAACGTTCGAGTGCCATTTGAGCGCTAATTAAGTGCTGCCGTCTTTTGGACAAGATGTGGTCTTTACTGGATCCACCGCTTAGTAAGCAGATGAAGGCAATGTAGTTTTAGTCAATTAAACATTCCAATAGGGAGAATGACGTGGAGGCTATAATTATAGATGGATTCTTGGAAGGGGAAGAATTTCAGCATCCCAGCTTGGGCAACATTGCGAGGCAGTGTCGCTACAAAAAAATAGAAAAATTAGCCGAGGGTGGTGGCGTGCGCCTCTGGTCCCAGCTACTTGGGAGGCTGAGCCCGGGAGGTCGAGGCTGAGGTGAACCGTAATCGCCCTGCTGTGCTCCAGCCTGGGCGACAGAGTGAGCCCCTACCTCACACACACACACACACACACACACACACACACACAAGAATTTCAGCATTATTTGATTATACTACGATTTCCTAGGTGGCCCCAAAGTTTTCCGACAGCCTTTAAAGCATGCTTAGTAAGAGAATAATAATAACCATCATTTGAGCCACGGTGTGAACCAGGCACTGTATACTACGTCATTTACGCAGATTTTTATATACGTAATCCTCAAAACAACTCCATGAGCTGAGTAATTAAAATAATAGGGTTCACAGACTCCCTTGGTCAACTCCAATGTCTTGGAACCTTTATGTAGTAAGAAATCTTTTCTGAAGCTTCTTGCTATGTATAATCCATTTCTTAGTCTCTAGTAAAAGCAAAGGAACGGTGGCTACCTTCCCTACCCTCTGATTCATGGTGTTTGATTATTATTTGCCTGTCCCTTCTCCTCATGTCTTTTTCACCAAGTCCAGTAACCCTAATTCTTTTCATTCTTACCAGTGCCAGCGCCACAGCCCTTCAATCATTTTGGTTGCTATCCAGCTTCTCCACATCAAGTCCAACTTCAGAAACCCCAAGCCTGTAGAGAAAAGTTGACCTGTGCTGACTCTGGTGATGGTGACTGTCTCTCACTAATTTCTTTGAAGTCTTCAAGGATAAGCAGAGTTGATCCATCTGAGAAAGGGATCATGAACTAGACAGAATGAACAGCCTTAGAGGCACAGACTCTTGAACGGGACGGTGGTGGTATGACTAGTGCAGAGTGTTTAGAGATCACTCAGTTTTTAAAGACTGGCCTTTATCGTGTCTCAGTGCAGCCGAGGCAGAGCCTTTGAAGGATGCGATGTTGTCATTCTTACTAATCTAGTCCAGCCGCTGAGGTGACTTTCAACGGCAGACCGTCTCCTGAGCGCCCCAGGTAGAATTTCAAAGTAAGATTACCCTTCTCAACCCCTCCTTTTCTTTTTTACAAATCTTTCACCTGCTCATCACCCACCCCACCAAGCCCCTTCCCCATGTTCAGTACTCTCATTCTGCGCTCTGGCTGATGAGAACTGCCGGCTGTGGCACTTCACCCTTTTAAAAAATGCTCTCGGCCGGGTGCCGTGGCTCACGCCTGGAATCCCAGCACTTTGGGAGGCCGAAGCGGGCGGATCACCTGCAGTCAGGAGTTTGAGACCAGCCTGGCCAACATGGTGAAACCCCATCTCTACCAAACATACAAAAATTAACCGGGCGTGGTGGTGCATGCCTGTAGTTCCAGCTACTCAGGAGGCTGAGGCACAAGAATCGCTTGAACCTGGGAGACGGAGGTTGCAGTGAGCCGAGATTGCACCATTGCACTCCAGCCTGGGCGACGAGAGCGAAACTCTGTCTCAAAAAAAAAAAAAAGAAAAAAATGCTCTCAAAATAACTCACCTGGCAGGGCACAGTGGCTCATGCCTGTAATCCCAGCACTTTGGGAGGCCGAGGTGGGTGGATTGCTTGAGCTCAGGAGTTAGACCAGCTTGGGCAACATGGTGAAATCCTGTCTCTACAAAAAATAAGATAATTAGCTGGGCGTGGTGGTGCATGCCTGTAATCCCAGCTACTTGGGAGACTGAGGTGGGAGGATTACTTGAGCCCCGAAGGTGGAAGTTGCAGTGAGCAGAGATTGGGCCACTACACTCCAGTATGGGTAACAGAGGGAGATACTGTCTCAAAAAAAAAACACAAGAAAAAACTCACCTTTCCCTCACCCACTCTGTGTGATTTCTTTAGGTATTAGAAGGAAGTGATCTATTATCTAATTAAAGTAATTTACAGTAGGATATGATTAACTGCTGTGCTTAACGCTTTAGGCAACTCCATAGGAAAAGAGAAGCTTGTTGACTTGATACGTGAATGTGGGGATGGTGACACTTCACCTCTTTCTGCCAGGCTTTCCAGTTGCAGTCATAGAAAAGCAAGAAACAGTGGCTTGCCAACTCATTTCTGAAAAATTGTTTTGATTTAACCCAACTTTAATTACATTTTTTCCCACTACCCTTCTATCACAGCAATCTGATTAACTTTTTCATAGTGTTCTTTGGTGTGTTTCAAATAATAACAAATCATTTTAGTTTTATAGACTAAGTAAACAATTTTGGAGGCTCTAGTTGAATCGCTGATCAATAGTTTGCATAATAAATCTTGATTGACTAAAATTAATAGCCTCAGAGTTTATGGATTTCTGTTTCTGGGGCTTTCCAAACTCCCCCCTGCCCCCTCACCCCGACTCTCACCCAGGCTGGAGTGCAGTGGCACAATCTCAGTTCACCACTGCAACCTCCACCTCCCAGGTTCAAGCCCTCAGCCTCCCGAGTAGCTGGGATTACAGGCACGTACCACCACACCCTGCTAATTTTTGTATTTTTAGTAGAGACAGGGTTTCTCCATCTTGGCCAGGGTGGTCTTGAACTCCTGACCTCAAGTGATCCGCCCTCCTCAGCCTCCCAAAGTGCTAGGATTGCAGGCGTGAGCCACCACGCCCAGCCTCCCCTGGCCCCTGCCTTTTTTTTTTTTTTAACATTCCCAGTAACAGTTATTTATTTTTCTGACTAGATAAATGATCAGTAAATATTATCTATGTGATTTAGAGAGTAGGA
This sequence comes from Homo sapiens, assembly GCF_000001405.40. Lineage (NCBI taxonomy): Eukaryota > Metazoa > Chordata > Mammalia > Primates > Hominidae > Homo > Homo sapiens. The sequence goes on along the minus strand of NC_000003.12, from coordinate 196,565,181 downwards.
GTTTAGTGTGTAGAGTTTAATAAGATGAAAGTGTTCTTGGGGTCTTGTGAGACTAATAGAACAAGAGTTACTACTGGTTCCACTGTGGAAAAATTTATAGGAACTGTAGTCTTTATAATAATCCCTTTAAGGACAAAATTCGTTTATTGCCTGTCTTCTCACACTTCGGAGCAAAACTTAACTGAATGAACCTTGAAGATTGAGTTAATCTTTTCTAGAAAAGAATTAAATTAGGAAGAAAACCTGCTAAAACTTTTGTCTGTCAGTCAGCATTTATTTGGCTCTCCTGTGGGTAGATTTGTAATGGAGAAACAGGAGCACTAGAAACCTTGCCTCATTCTTGTTTCAGAGAAAACCTAAAATCCCAGCTGGGATCCAAAACCTGTATGCACACAAATATCAGCAAATCTTAATGCTCTAGAGTACAGACTTCCTGACTTCAAAGTTGATTCATCATAGCAAAATTAAAACTATAACTTGGCAAAAAAGTGATCGACATTCTAAAGATTTGAAAGCATTGGCTGGGTGCAGTGGCTCATGCCTGTGATGCCAGCACTTTGAGAGGCTGAGACGGGAGGATCACTTGAGCCCAGGAGTTCAAGAACAGCCTGGGGAATGTGGGGAAACCTCATCTCTACAAAAAAAATACAAAAAATTAGGTGGGTTTGGTGGTGAGAGCCTGTAGTTCCAGCTACTCAGGAGGCTAAGGCGGGAGGATCACTTGAGCCTGGGGAGGTCAAGGCCTGCATGACAGAGCAAGACCCTGTCTCAAAAAAAAAAAAAAAAGAAAAAAGAAAAAAAATTGAAATCGTTAAACAAAATTATTTGTAACTTAAATTGACTTTTCAATACTCAATTCAAATTTGTAGGATAGCATCTTTATCATGAGGTAAGTCAGTATTACAGTTCCTAAGCCTAAATACTATCAGTGCCTTTCGTTTAAAATCTAGGTTTATCTGGAACTTTTGGCAACAGTCTTCGTTACGGCATATTTACCTGCTGCTGTTTCAGTACTTGTCAGCAAAAATCAAACCACCAGGGCTCCCTGTTTTTACCTCCCTCTGAGTCATTTCCTCTCCAATTCTCTCCTTTAAATATTATTGCTTCAGTCTCCAGTTAGTTTCCTCTGTATATTAGTTGAGTGCTTCTGCTTGAAAACAAAAGTTTAATTTTGTTTTTTATTTTGTTATTTTTATGAACATTTCTGTATTTGATTTTGTGATCACGTTTCCGTTACCTTGATTACTAATAGATCAGTGATTTTTTTGCAGTCTAATTAGTGATCGTATGTGTGACTAAAAGTAGGGGGAGGCTGGGTGCGGTGACGCACGCCTATAATCCCAGCACTTTGGGAGGCTGAAGTGGGTGGATCATGTAAGGTCAGAAGTTCAAGACCAGCCTGGCCAACATGGTGAAACCCTGTCTCTACTAAAAATGGAAAAGTTAGCCTGGCGTGGTGGCAGGCGTCTATAATCTCAGCTACTTGGGAGGCTGAGGCAGGAGAATCGCTTAAACATAGGAGGCAGAGGTTGCAGAGAGCTGAGATTGTGCCATTGCACTCCAACCTGGGCGACAGAGCAAGACTCCGTCTCAAAAAAAAAAAAAAGCTTTGTGTTGGGAATGGAAACTTTGGGCAGATTGCCAGATTATTTTAAATGATTTTATCTCTGTACCACTGGGCTAAATTCAAGTATCTTATCTGAAAATAGCACAACAGCTCTGGGGGCTGGCACTCGGGTAAGCTCTCCTTTCGCTTATGAAATGAAAAATTAAATTTGTCCAGGTAGATTTATTTGCTTCCTTTTGTCTTGACCAAGATTAGAGTTGTATAAATTGCCCTGATTTCCTTTTTGCCTTGACCAGCAGGCGGGCACGGCAGGCCGGTATTATGTGGCATTTCCAGTGTGTGTATATCTGGGATTCCTAGAGGATGAGAAATCTAAATTTTACACTGTTGTGTAAGTGCAGGTAGATGATAATATGATTAAACATATGTGAGTACATTTTCAAGCACTGATGACTTACTAGTAACTTTTGGTCATTTTCTGTTTCTTCAAAGAATAATAACAAAACTGTTGTCAGGTGGAGTTGTTAGAAAAGGACCTTCATTATTTAAATATTTGGAGCCTGGGCAACATAGGGAGACCCCGACTTTGCAAAAAAAAATTTAATAAAATAAAAATTAGCCAGGCATGGTGGTGCACATAAGTGGTCTGAGCTACTCAGGAGACTGAGGTGGGAGGATTGCTTAGGCCTGGGAGGTCAAGGCTGCAGTGAGCCACGATTGTGCCACTGCACTGCAGCCTGGGTGACAGAGCAAAACCCTGTCTCAAAACAAAAACAAAACATTTGGGATCTGTTACAAATCCTAAGAGTCAAGTGACCTTGGGAAAATTATTTAACATTTCTGAGACTCGGTTTTATTATCCCTAAAATGGAATAATACCAATCAAAAGGGTTGTTTTGAGATAAAATTAGATAACCTACTGAATAAGTGTCTGGTGGGGAGACCAAGGGCCTGCCATTTTCACCATTTCCCCAGGTGGTCATTAGTTTAATACAGATTCTGCAATTCCACTGTACATCAGGATCACCTGGAGGACTTACTAAAACACATTGCAGCCGGGCGTGGTGGCTCACGCTTATAATCCCAGCACTTTGGGAGGCCAAGGTGGGTGGATCACCTGAGGTCAGGAGTTTGAGACCAGCCTGGCCAACATGGTGAAACCCCGTCTCTACTAAAAATACAAAAATTAGCCAGGCATGGTGCCGGGTGCCTGTTATCTCAGCTACTCGGGAGGCTGAGGCAGGAAAATTGCTGGAACCCGGGAGGCGGAGGTTGCAGTGAGCCGAGATCATCCATTGCAGTCCAGCCCGGGCTAACGGCAGCGAGACTCCATCTCAGAAAACAAAACAAAACAACAACAACAAAAACACACTGCTTGGTCTCACCCCCATTTTCAGATTCAGTAGATCTAGGGTTGGGTCTGACAATTTGCATTTCTGACAAGTTCCTAGGGGATGCTGATGCTGCTAGTGTGGAGACCACACTTTGAGAGTACTGGTGCAGTGTATGTAATGCCGCTTTGCACCGGCCTAATAAAAATCGAAAAAGTAACAATAGCAATGCTTGTTGAGGATTCATTATGTATCAGGCACTATTATGTGTGATTTACATATATTATGATCCTATGAAATGAGTGTCATTATTATCCTCATTTTATAGAGAAGAAAAGTGGGTGACAGGTTCAGTAATTTGCCCAGTCCCCTAGCTACTGCAAACCTGGAGAGCCTAGCTGCAGAGCTCACCATCTAAAACATTATTCAGATAAGAGGCATAACCTGATGATTTTGCAGCCCTCTCTTTAAAATAATTTTTCTTAATTTAAAATATGTAGTGTTTATTCTTCTGTGGGTTCCATATGAAAGACTGGAGGACTGGCCTTACCTAGATCCCTGATGGCAAAGGAAGCCCACTGAAGTATTTGCCAGCCAGGATACAACCCTGTGTTCAGCTAGGCTTTTGGAGATGTGATCTTTAAGTGTCTTTTTTTTTTTTAATTAATTGAGTTTTTTTAAGATGTATTTTTAAAACATTTTAAAAGATGAAATATTGTTTATTACATCTGTCTCCTCCCATCAAGTCGATGTATAAAACATGAGATTACAGTTGTTTCCCCCACTTCACAGAGTCTCCGGGACCATTATGGCAGTCAAGTGGACGGGTGGGCATTCTTCTCCTGTCCTCTGCCTGAATGCAAGTAAAGAAGGGCTGCTGGCTTCTGGAGCAGAGGGCGGAGATCTCACGGCTTGGGGTGAAGATGGAACTCCATTAGGACACACGCGGTTCCAAGGGGCTGATGATGTTACCAGTGTCTTATTTTCTCCCTCCTGTCCCACCAAGCTCTATGCCTCACATGGAGAAACCATTAGTGTACTGGATGTCAGGTCCCTCAAAGATTCCTTGGACCATTTTCATGTGAATGAAGAAGAAATCAATTGTCTTTCATTGAATCAAACGGAAAACCTGCTGGCTTCTGCTGACGACTCTGGGGCAATCAAAATCCTAGACTTGGAAAACAAGAAAGTTATCAGATCCTTGAAGAGACATTCCAATATCTGCTCCTCAGTGGCTTTTCGGCCTCAGAGGCCTCAGAGCCTGGTGTCATGTGGACTGGATATGCAGGTGATGCTTTTGCACAGAGTACTTGGGGAATTTCTAAGTGGGATTTGCTAACAGGATCAAATTATTGATCACACGAAATATCTTTGCTTTTTCTGTTTTCTACTAACATATCCATTTATGAACAATAAGCCTTATTTCTACATTTAATGCTAGTCTGATAAAACCTAATAGAATTTATTCACAAAGTAATCATTAATCCTTTACTTTTCCTTTCTCTATACTGTAAGATACTCCTAAAACCTGAAAATGCAAATATTTGATTGTAAACATCTGTTTAAACAAACAGTGAGTACTAAAGGCAGAGTTGGTCCACCCACTCTCTGTAAACTCTGTTTAAACAAAAAGTTAGAGGGGTCTGTTTTTACTTTAAAGTTCTGGGGTACATTAACTGAAATAGTGTGTATTGGTGATCAGGATCAGAGCACTGTATTCAATGCTGAGTTTTGAAAGGAGCATCACGGCTGGGCACGGTGGCTCACGCCTGTAATCCCAGCACTTTGGAAGGCCGAGGTGGGCAGATCACTTGAGGTCATCAAGACCAGCCTGGCCAACGTGGTGAAACCCTGTCTCTACTAGAAATACAAAAATTAGCCAGGCGTGGTGGTGGGCTCCTGCAATCCCAGCTACTTGGGAGGCTGAGGCAGCAGAATCGCTTGACCCAGGAGGTGGAGGTTGCAGTGAGCCGAGATCATGCCACTGCACTCCTGCCTAGGCAACAGAGTGAGACTCTGTCTCAAAAAAAAAAAAAGAAAAAAGAAAGGAGCATCACAAATTGCCCAAATACAGAGGAAGTCCATCAGGAGAGTAGATGTATCTAGAAACCCATTATGTAGAGAACTGGAGGTGTTTAATTCTTAGTTTTCATGAGGGGAAAAAATGGAATGTGCTGGTCTTCATAAGAGAAGTCATGGGAAAGCAGATTTGGGCTTAATGTAAACGTTTTCAAATAGCTTGAACGTTCCCATGGCAGGATGTGCTTCCTCTTGAGAGAGTAAATCTCATCACTGGAGTGAGTCGTCATGATTTCTGTCTGTTGAGCACTTAGTTCTTGCCAATGCTTTGTGTATATTAGTTTTAATTCTAATCACACCCTCCTAGTTATTTTTTTTAATAAATAAAGAAACTGAAATTCACATGAAGTATCTACATTGCCACCTGACTGAGATTCAAACCTCAATCTCTCTGGCTCCAAAGGCTATGTTTTTTCTCTAAGATGACAGGTATTCAAGCAGAGTATCATCAATAATGTCACAGAAAAGTTTCTTGGTTTGGGGTCAGGTGGCTTCTAGAGAGAGAACCATTGTGAATGACCGATGTGTCCAGCACTGTTCAGGCATTTAATCTCTGTTCTCAGTTACATACAGTATCTTCTAAGATTCCATGTTCTTTTTAATAGCATCAGTTATGACTTCCACCCTCTTGGCTAGTGGTCTTTACCTTTCCCTCCCCAACCCTGCATACCCCTCATAACTGAAGAATGATGAGACTGTTTTTGTTGTCACCATGCTGTTCCCCTCTCCTGCAAGCTACCAGTATTCAGTAGGCAGAATCAGTGGGTGTCCTGCAGTGCTGGGATAGTCTCCAAACAATAAAGAATTGTCTCCCCAAAAACATCTGTAGTGCCTGGGTTGAGACTCACTCTACATGTATGGGGCATAGTGACCCTACAACCTCTATCTTCCTTTTCCACTCCTAGGTTTTGACCAAGCCCTTTATAAATCTCCTACATTCTCCACCCTAGTGGTGATAATCTGCCCTTGTGGTTGTAAAGAAAGACCTATACAACCAGATGGATATGTTTTAAGTAGGCAGATTGTACAGTGTGTCTTTGAGTAGTCATTCTGTCATCCTTCAGCTGTACCACTTTTCCATCAGTGGTTCATTAACCACTAGGCATGGCAATAGACAATTGGGTACGCAAAAGTGATGTGTACTTTTCAGATTAGATGAGGAATGGGCATTCAGAATTTACTGTCTTGCCCCCAGTTCCAGGTAAGACGTTTTAGTGGCAGGCACTTGCTAGTGAACAGCCCTGGAAACAAGTATTTTGAAAAAGGGAGGCTCAGGTAATTTCTTATTTTGATTTGCCTGGTAAAATTGCTAAAGGTTCATGGTAGATTTGTTTCTACACTGGGTTGTGATGTAACAGCCATACAACCATGCTTTTAAGAAATGACTTCCTTAACTGAAGTTGAAACTCTATAATTATTTCCACAGTTGTCTTCCTAAAACCTGTTGATCCAGTATTATCCTAAACTTTAAGGATAGCCAGTCTATGGGGGAGCCCAAGAATGTAGGCACAGTAATAGTGGAAGGGAGTTCTGACTATTTTGAGTTACTTCTCTCTGAGCAAACAAATTTTATCTCAAGGCAGGAATTGAATGATTGCCATGTTCAGCATACCTATCTTTTTTCTTATGTAACAGTAATTATAAAGTTATGTCTTTTGACTTAGGTTTAAATAATTAGGCAGGGCCAGGTGTGGTAGCTTATGTGCCTGAGGGCTCATGCCTGGGATCCCAGCACTTTGGGAGGCCAAGGCAGGCAGATCACTTGAGCCCAGGAGTTCGAGACCAGCCTGGACAACATGGCAAAACCCTATCTCTACCGAAAATACGAAAATTAGCCAGGTGTGCTAGCATCCACCTGTGGTCCCAGCTACTTAGGAAGTTGACGTGGGAGGATCACCTGAGCCCAGGGAGGTGGAGGTTGTAGTGAGCCATGATCTCGCCACTGCACTCCAGCCTGGATGACAAAGTGAGACCCTGTCTCAAAAAAATAAAATAGGCAAAGCGCATTCAAAGAGGCAGGGACCCTAAAAGCAAAGTGTGGTTCTTTAAGACACGTGAGACTGCTTAATTTTTTATTTAATAGGTACAAAGTAATATTTATATATATGAGGTGTAAAGGATAACATTAGGCCAGGCGCAGTGGCTCATGCCTATAATCCCAGAACTTTGGGAGGCCATGGCAGGTGGATCGCTTGAGCTCAGGAGTTTGTGACCAGCCTGGGCAACATAGCGAAACCCCATCTCTACAAAAGATACAAAAAGTAGCCAGGTGTGTAGTGAGCACCTGTAGTCCCAGCTACTTGGGGGGCTGAGACGGGAGAATTGCTTGATCCCGAGAGGTTGAGGTTGCAGTGAGCCAAGATTGTGCCACTGCACTCCAGCCTGGGTGACAGTGAGACCTTGTCTCAAAAAAAAAAAAAGAAAAGAAAAAAAATTAAATAAATACCTGTATACCTACCATTCAACTATAGTTTTTTTCTTGAAAGACTTAGAAAATTAAAACTGTCATATTTCTGTAGCATACATGTTGATTTTCTTTCCCTGCCCCTTTCTGCATCTGAAAACAAATGATTGAAAGGTTTGTTGTTCTTTCTGGATTTTTAAAACCAAAATCCCAACACTTACAGACCAGGATGGTAGAGAAGGCTCTTTTGTTTGTTTGTTTTTGAGACAGGGTCTTTGTCATCCAGGCTGGAGTGCAGTGGTACAATTAGAGCTCACCGCAGCCTCGCACTCCCTCAGGTGATCCTCCCACCTCATCCTCCTGCATAGCTGGGACTACAGGCACAAGCCGACACACCCAGCTAATTTTTTTTATTTTTGCTGCAGAGGAGGGCTGGCTCCCTGTGTTCCCCAGGCTGGTCTCGAACTCCTGGGCTCAAGCAGTCCTGCCATGGCCTCCCAAAGTGCTGGGATTATAGGCATGAGCCACTGCACCTGGCCTGAAGAGGCTCTTTATCTTGAAGACGAGTCTTTTATGTGGAAAGAAATGTTTTTGTAAAAGGGGAATTTGTTTTGAAAGGTCACTTTGTTATGATTACATTCACTTCTGAACATTTGCTGGTTCCCCACTTTTTCTCCCTTCGATGTTTTGCAGAACCATAAGCCCCAAACTCTTTATTCTTTTCTTTCAGTATCTCTAGCTCTCTTGATTAGGATGAGAACTGCTTGAACAGCTGGTTGAGAAATTAAGTGTGAAACACCTTGGAGTCTTTAGCATTTTAGAAAAGTCAAGAAGCATAAAGGGAATGTCCAGACAGGAACAGTCTGGAATCCTCAATACGTGGAAATGATTCTAGACTTGGTAGAATCTGGGATGGCTGTTAACACATTTAGATGATTTAAGTCAAATACAAAAGGTGTTTCAGCTGCTGAAACACTCTGGGTGCAGTGCATGTTTGAATGTCTTTGGAGGACAGAAAATACAGTCCATTCATAAGGGCTGTATGAGAAAGAACTGGGTCTATCTGCCAATACAGTGAAGCTAGCAGATTCTAGAATGTCCATTTTCTGTGTGTGTGTGTGTGTATTTTCTTTTTTTTTTTTTTAAAGACGGAGTCTTGCTCTGTTGCCCAGGCTGGAGTGCAATGGTGTGATCTCGGCTCACTGCAAGCTCTGCCTCCCAGGTTCACGCCATTCTCCTGCCTCAGCCTCCCGAGTAGCTGGGACTACAGGCGCCCACCACCATGCCTAGCTAATTTTTTGTATTTTTAGTAGAGATGCAGTTTCACTGTGTTAGCCAGGATGGTCTCGATCTCCTGACATCGTGATCCGCCCACCTCAGCCTCCCAAAGTGCTGGGATTAGAGGTGTGAGCCACCGTGCCCAGCCGTGTTCAGATTTTTTAATAGAAACTGTTTTGGGGCATTGTGGCTGATGCGTGTAATCCCATCACTTTGGGAGGTGGAGATGAGTGGATCGCTTGAGCCCAGCAGTTGGAGACCAGCCTGGGCAACATAGCAAAAACCCCATCTCTACAAAAAAATACAAAAATTAGCTGGGTGTGGTAGCATGCGCCTGTAGTCCCATCTACTTGGGAGGCTGAGGTGGAAGGATCACTTGAACCCAAGAGGTCAAGGCTGCAGTGAGCCATGGTCATGCCACTGCACTCTAGCCTGGGTGACAAAGTGAGACCCTATTTTTAAAAAAAAAACTATTTTCATATCAAGTTTCAGCACTCCTTCGTGTTATATTTTCTAATATTTATTTATTTTACTTTAGCTTATTTCAATTTGTTCGTACTTTAACTTCACCCAAACAGTGATTGTTAGTCACATAGTATAATGTTATAAATCCAATTCAAAGAGATTTTCATCTAAGAGAAGCAGAATGTAAGTGTTACTAGATGTCACTGCTTTTGAAAATAGGCCACTGAGAATAATCATAAGGGAAGTTACCTTGAATAGGAAACCAAATTCTTAATAGCATTAGCAATAGTAATCTTGCCAATTCAGATCTATGCTTTTCACTGTCTAAACAAGCTCATGCTTCTTCCAGTGTCTGTTAAAATTGTGAGTTATAATTCAGGGATGATGGTAAACTACATGATAAAGCTGTCTGTTTGCTTTGAAAGTATTAAGAGTATTTTTCTTTGCAAAATGGTTGATACAGGAAAAGAATGAATCACTAGATGATAATGTAAAACCCATTCACAAAGCTTATTTAAAAAAAACAAAAAGCACCAGGTCGGGAACAACGAAAAGCCAAATGAAATTAATACCAGGATGTCATATTAATCAACAGACATGTTTGGAATTTCTCCTCTTTCTCAGCCATTATGCTAGGCATTAGCAAAGACTAAGTAAGTCTCAAGAAACTGATAAGCTAGTAGAATATGTCAATTAATAGAATAGAAACTAGATACAGGAAGGAGAAGCGGGCTGAAATAGGAAAGCCTTCTTGGAGGCACCAGGACTGAGCTTAAGCCCCTTGGATGGGTAATTGGGTAATGTGAAAGGAAAGGAAGGCATTCCAGATGGAAAGCATTTCAATGATAGTCCAGATCGAGTTTATTTAGTTGATAGGCCTTTTGACCTATAACCAGCATAGACTAAAACTAGCAAATTTGATAATCTTTGGTTTTACTTGAAGAGATGAGAGCAGAAAAACCTTTAGAAACTGGCAGCTGCTTAACAATTACACTTTAATGGAGTTTATTAATCAAAAATTATTCAGGATCTTGTTTAATTCTACCTAACCGCACTCTAGTTTTAGTCCCGGGGTAGCATTCCACTGGCATGTTATGGCAGCATTTGATTATTTTTTAATACTGCTGAGAACGTGCACTACTGCTCATTCTCAGACTACTTTAACGATTTTATTAGAAGCTGAATAAGCATGATAGTTGAGCAAATTGGCTAGCATTTTGTATGACTGTGTAATTTCTTCTTATGTAAAGGTGATGCTGTGGAGTCTTCAAAAAGCCCGACCACTCTGGATTACAAATTTACAGGAGGATGAAACAGAAGAAATGGAAGGCCCACAGTCACCTGGTCAGCTCTTAAACCCTGCCCTAGCCCATTCTATCTCTGTGGCTTCGTGTGGTAATATTTTTAGTTGTGGTGCAGAAGATGGTAAGGTTCGAATCTTTCGGGTGATGGGAGTTAAGTGTGAACAGGAACTGGGATTTAAGGGCCACACTTCAGGGGTATCCCAGGTCTGCTTTCTCCCAGAATCCTATTTGCTGCTTACTGGAGGGAATGATGGGAAGATCACGTTGTGGGATGCAAACAGTGAAGTTGAGAAAAAACAGAAGAGTCCCACAAAACGTACCCACAGGAAGAAACCTAAAAGAGGAACTTGCACCAAGCAGGGTGGAAATACTAACGCTTCAGTAACAGATGAGGAAGAACATGGCAACATTTTACCAAAGCTAAATATTGAACATGGAGAAAAAGTGAACTGGCTCTTGGGTACAAAAATAAAGGGACACCAAAATATATTAGTAGCTGATCAAACTAGTTGTATATCTGTATACCCCTTAAATGAATTTTAAATCCAATAAAAACATTTGAAGAATTGTGGCAAAACTGTTTTTCAGATTAAAAAAAAAAGCTCCTGGTTCTTTATTTAAGCTGTTTGTTATATGTAAAATCATACTCTTCTGCTGTACAAATTTTAAGATATTTGAACAAAAGACAATTGGATATTTATATAGTAAGTGATATGTTAAAGTTTGGAGGAAGAGAATGAATATTCATTGTGTACCATGTACCAGCCATTTTACGTATATTTGATTTCTTGTTCCGAATCATTGAAGTGATTTCCCCCATTTTAGTGCCACAGGAATTAAGACTTAGAAATGTTAAGTAACTTAAAGATCCAGGAAAATTGCAGGCACAACGACTTGTCTGGAAAGGACCTTGTTAAGCTGCCTACCGTAGGGAAGCCCACATCCTGGTCCAAATTGGTCACCATATTAGTTATTTCTGTCCAGGCGCAGTGACTCACGCCTGTAATCCCAGCACTTTGGGAGGCCGATGCGGGCAGATCATCTGAGGTCAGGAGTTAGAAACCAGCCTGGCCAACATGGCAAAAACCCATCTCTACTAAAAATACAAAAATTGGCTGGGCCTAGTGGCACGTGCCTGTAATCCAAGCTACTCAGGAGACTGAGACGGGAGAATCGCTTGAACCCAGAAGGTAGAGGTTGCAGTGAGCCAAGATCACACCACTGCACTCTAGCCTAGGTGACAGAGCGACTCTGTCTCTAAATAAATAAATAAATAACATTAGTTATTTCTGATCCCAGGATGTCATGAGGAGCATTACCAAGTTGGAAGAGGAAACCTGTTCTTGCTTGTTCTGTGTAAAGCCCAAATTGCTTTGCTGACAATTACCTTTTGCTGTGTTTCTAAAAAACAAAAAGGGTTCCAGGGTCAAATCAGTTTAGGGTATTATGCAGCAATCCAGGCCATGATGCTGGTGGAGTGAGAATAAGTTGCAGTTATTAATAAGCAGAAATTCTGACGAAGCAGAAGATAGAAAAGAGAATAGAGGCCTAGATAGGGTGTCAAGAGTTATGTTCCTTTTCATTGAGGCCTGGATTGCTGTCTTCTCTGCATGTTCTTTCAGCTTTCACTCATACTGCCTACTCTTATATTTAGAGTTTTTTAAATTTTAATTTAATTTTTTTATAGAGAGGAGCCTTGCTATGTTGGCCAAACTGGTCTCAAACTCCTGGCCTCAAGCAATCCTCCTGTCTTAGCCTCCCAAAGTGCTGGGAGTACAGGTGTGAGCCACCGTACCTGGCCTATATTCAAAGCTTTGAAGAGATCATCTGATTGGTTACCATTATTCTTGTTTGTGGAGATCTCTTTTTCATAAATTCAGTTTTAGTCAGGACTCCTGTTGCAGGTGACAGAAACCAAATTCAAATTGGCTTAACAGAATAAAAAGGAATGTATTGGCTCACATAGCTGAGAAGTCCAAGAACAGTCAGGTGCATACTGCTGAGGCGGCTACGCTGGCAGGGTAAGCAAAAGAAGCACCCCAGCCTAAGTTTACAGAGAACCAGGACATCATTTTGAATATAACTTAGTTCTAATAGTCAAATGGCCACTCAAGGTGACAAATAGGAACTTCAGTGGTCACCCCTCGGAAGCAAGCTTTCAATGTCCCCCACCTGTAGAAGGCTGAAAAACATCCTCCAAAGATAACAGGTTCCAATCACTGGAACCTGTATTACTTATTACCATTAAATATAAATTTTAATTATTTAATTTAAAATATTGTGAATATTATGAGATTGCTATGTAACTTAAATAATATTGATAATATTAATTATTAATATTTATATTTAATTATAAGTAAATTTATAAACATTTGGCAGAAGGATCTTTGCAGATCCGATTAATTTATGAATCTTAAAGAATTATGTTAAAATAATATTTTGCAAATAACCTATGTACGTCCTCCTATAAACGTTAAATCATCTCGATTACTTATAATCCTTAATACAATGGAAATGCTATATAAATAGTATTCTGTATTTTTTATTTGTATTATTTTTTATCATTGTATAGTTGTATAGTTGTGTTCTGTTGTTTTTTCTTCCCCGAAGACATTTGAGCCACGGTTGATTGACTCCACAGACTGTGGAACCCATGAGTACCGAGGCATAACTACGTGCTTTTCTATTTTTATTAGAGTGTAAGATGCTTGAAGGCAAAGACTACCCTCTTTCACTTCAGAGCATATCGTGTGGCCTGTCCTAGGCTTCCCAGCCAACACAAACAGTACTCATAAGATATTAAATGAATCAAAGGAGATCCAGAAAGTTAAAATGTGGTTAGAAAAAAAAGCCTGAAGGGAACTGGTGGCAGGATTGCCTGACAACTAGACCCAACCCTTTGCTTGTTCTTCAAGTTATTTTTATTTTATTTATTTTTATTTATTTATTTTTATTTTTTGAGATGAAGTCTTGCTGTGTCACCCAGGCTGGAGTGCAGTAGTATGATCTCAGCTCACTGCAACCTACACCTCCCAGGTTCAAACAGTTCTCCTGCCTCAGCCTTTTGAGTAGCTGGGATTACAGGCACCTGCCACCACACCCAGCTAATTTTTGTATTTTTGGTAGAGACTCAGTTTTGCCATGTTGCCCAGGCTGGTCTCAAACTCCTGACCTCAGGTGATCCCCACCTCGGCCTCTCAAAGGGATGGGATTACAGGCATGAGCCTCCACACCCAGCCTCTTCAGATTATTTTTAACGCCAGCTATCAGGGCTACACATTCTCCTAACCAATGCTGAACTCACAGACACCTAAACATGCTCATTTCACATTTCTTTTTTCTTTTTTTTTTTTTTTTTTGAGACAGTCTTACTGTCACCCAGGCTGGAGGGCAATGGCATGATCTTGGCTCACTGCAAACTCTGCCTCCTGGGTTCAAGCAATTCTCGTGCCTCAGCCTCTTGAATAGCTGGGATTACATGGGTTTGCCACTACACCTGGCTAATTTTTTTTGTTGTTGTTTTCAAGATGGAGTTGTACTCTGTCACCCAGGCTGGAATGCAGTGGCACCATCTCGGCTCACTGCAACCTCCATCTCCCAGGTTCAAGCAGTTCTCGTGCCTCAGCCTCCCGAGTAGCTGGGATTACAGGTGCCCGCCACCATGCCCAGCTAATTTGTATTTTTAGTAGAGATGGGGTTTCACCATGTTGGCCAGGCTTGTCTTGAACTCCTGACCTCAAGTAATCCACCCACCTCGGACTCCCAAAGTGTTGGGATTGCAGGTATGAGCCACTGCGCCTGGCCAATTTTTGTATTTTTAATAGAGATGGGGTTTCACCATGTTGGCCAGGCTGGTCTTGAACTCTTGACCTCAGGTGATCCGCCCACCCTGGCCTACCAAATTATTTCACATTTCATGTACCCTCTCCAAATTACAATCAGTTTGTGGTCCTGGATGCACAAACTTGAGGCTGATACAGGGCCACCCAACCACTCCTTGCCAAGGGCAGAAATACTTTTCAGGATTAATCAGTCACATTCTGGCAGAATCGTGTAGTTCTGGTGCCATCAGCCTATGACCAGCTCTCCCTTGACCACAATTTTCCTATTTACAAGGAAAGAATTAGTGAAAAACAGTAATGCACAGCACATATGTTTTGTATGTATGTATGTGTGTGTGTCTTGTTTGCTGAACTATTTGAAAGTGAGGTACCTTGACACTTTGTATTAGTCTGTTTTCATGCTGCTGATAAAGACATACCTGAGTCTGGATAATTTATACAGGAAAAAAGTTTAATGGACTTACAGATCCACGTGGTTAGGGAGGCCTTACAATCATGGTGCAAGGCAAGGAGGAGCAAGTCATGTCTTACATGGATGGCGGCAGGCAACCCGAGAGAGAGCTTGTGCAGGGAAACTCCCCCTTATAGAACCATCAGATCTTGTGAGACTTAATTCACTATCATGAAAACAGCATGGGAAAGACCTGTCCCCATGATTTAATTACCTCCCACTGGGTCCCTCCTACAACATGTGGGAATTCAAGATGAAATTTGGGTAAAGACACAGCCAAACCATATCATTTCACCCTCAGCCCCTCCCAAATCTCATGTCCTCACATTTCAAACCCAATCATGCTTTCCCAACAGTCCCCCAAAGTCTTATTTCAGCATTAACTCAAAAATCCACAGTCCAAAGTCTCACCTGAGACAAGGCAAGTCCCTTCCTCTATAAGCCTGTAAAATCAAAAGCAAGTTAGTTACTTCCTAGATACAATGGGGGTACAGGCATTGGGTAAATACAGCTGTTCAAAATGGGAAAAATTGGCCAAAACAAAGGGGCTACAGTCCCCATACAAGTCCAAAATCCAGCAGGGCAGTCAAATCTTAAAACTCCAGAGTGATCTGTTTTGACTCTCTGTCTCACATCCAGGTCACACTGGTGCAAGAGGTGGGTTCCCATGGTCTTGGGCAGCTCTGCCCCTGTGTGCTTTGCAGGGTGCAGCCTCCCAGCTGCTTTCACAGGCTGGTGTTGAGTATCTGTGGCTTTTCCAGGTGAATGATGCAAGCTATCAGTGAAGCTACCATTTTGGGGTCTGGAGGATGGTGGCCCTCTTCTCACAGCTCCACCTGAAGGTGCCCCTGTAGGGACTCTGTGTGGAGACTCCTACCCCACATTTCCCTTCCACACTGCCCTAGCAGAGGTTCTCCATGAGGGCCCCACCCCTGCAGCAAACTTCTGCCTGGACATCCAGGTGTGTCCATACATCTTCTGAAATCTAGGCAGAGTTTCCCAAACCCCAGTTCTTGACTTCTGTGCACTCACAGGCTCAACACTATGTGGAAGCTGCCAAGGCTTTGGGCTTGCACTCTCTGAAGCCACAGCCCAAGCTCTATGTTGGCCCCTTTTAGCCATGGCTGGATTGGCTGTGACACGGCACCAAGTCCCTAGGCTGCACACAGCAGGGGGACCCTGGGCCTGACCCACTAAACCATTTTTTCCTCCTAGGCCTTAGGACCTGTGATGGGAAGGGTTGCCATGAAGACTTCTGACATGCCCTGGAGACATTTTCCCCATTGTCTTGTGGATTAACATTTGGCTTCTTCTTAACTTATGCAAGTTTCTGCAGCTGGCTTGAATTTCTCCTCAGAAAATGGGATTTTCTTTTCTATTGCATTGTCAGGCTGCAAATTTTCCAAATTTTTATTCTGTTTCCCTTTTAAAACTGAATGCTGGCTGGGTGTGGTGGCTCATACCTGTAAACCCAGCACTTTGGGAGGCCGGGGCAGGCAGATCACAAGATCAGGAGATGGAGACCATCCTGGCTAACACGGTGAAACCCTGTCTCTACTAAAAATACAAAAACAAAATTAGCTGGGCATGGTGGTGGGCGCCTGTAGTCCCAGCTACTCAGGAGGCTGAGGCAGGAGAATGGCATGAACCCTGGAGGTGGAGCTTGCAGTGAGCTGAGATCGCACCACTGCACTCCAGCCTGGGCGACAGAGCAAGACTCCATATCAAAAAAAAAAAAAAAAACCTGAATGCTTTTAACAGCACCAAAATTACCTCTTTAATGCTTTGCTGCTTAGAAATTTCTTCTGCCAGATACCCTAAATCATCTCTCTCAAGTTCAAAGTTCCACAGAGCTCTAAGGCAGGGGCAAAATGCCACCATTCTCTTTGCTAAAACATAGCAAGAGTCACCTTTACTCCAGTTCCCAACGAGTTCCTCATCTTCATCTGCAACCACTTCAGCCTCGATTTCATTGTCCATATCATTATAAGCATGTTGGTCAAAGCCATTCAACAAGTCTCTAGGGAATTCCAAACTTTTCCACATTTTCCTGTCTTCTTCTGAGCTCCCCAAACTGTTCCAACCTCTGCCTGTTACCCAGTTCCAAAGTCGCTTCCACATTTTCAGGTATCTTTTCAATACCACTCTACTGGTACCAATTTACTGTATTAGTTCGTTTTCATGCTGCTGATAAAGACATACCCAAGACTTGGTAATTTATGCAGGAAAAAGGATTTAATAGATGTACAGTTCCACATGGCTGGGAGGCCTCACAATCATGGTGGAAGGCAAGGAGGAGCAAGTCACATCTTAAATGGATGGCAGCAGGCAAAGAGAGAGCTTGTACAGGGAAACTCCCCCTTATATTACTAGTGGAAACAAGAATATAACAGCCTCCCCAAGTGCTCTTACAGGCATGAGCAACCATGCCCAGCCGGAACAAACTTAAATTCAACAATTACATATTTTTGGATTTTAAAAACTGCCTTATTGAGGTATAGTTCACATGCCGTACAATTTATCCACTTAAAGTATACAAATCTACTTCTCTACAAAGTTCACAGAAGAAATAAAGTATAAAAGTCAGTGGTGTTTTTTTTTTTTTTTTAGACCGTGTCTCAGTCTGTTGCCAGGCTGGAGTGCAGTGGCATGATCTCGGCTCACTGCAACCTCTGCCTCCCAGGTTCAAGCCATTCTCCTGCCTCAGCCTCCCAAGTAGCTGGGATTACACTTGCCCGCCACCATGCCCAGCTAATTTTTGTATTTTTAGTAGAGACGCTGGCCAAGTCAATGGTTTTTAATAAATTGAGGAGGTCTTACTGGCATCACCACAAGCTAATTTTAGAATCCCCTTATAGAACCATCAGATCTCATGAGACTTATTCACTATCACAAGAACAGCACGGGAAAGACCTGCCCCCATGATTCAATTACCTCCCACCGGGTCCCTCCCACAACATGGAATTCAAGATGAGATTTGAGTGGGGACACTCAAACCATGTCACACTTGATCTCAAAACTTCAGCATGCGTCTCCTAAAAAAGGACATTTTCCAGTATAACCATAATACTGATATCATGTATGAGAAACTTAGCAATAACTCACATTCTTGGTCTTGACTAGCAATTATGCCTCATGCCATCCTTACTGCACAAAAGCCCTGGTGGCAGGAGAGGGTAGCAGCCAGAACTGGTCAGAAGACAAGCCCCTCAGCAGCCATGAGCAGGGCTTATGGAGGTGAGAGGCTGGGGACAAGAGAAACCTGTAGCTCAGTCTGGGGTTTGAGCAGAGACAGGCCTTCTTTCTAGTCAACCCTCTTCCTGCGGGATATTCCCAGCTGGGGAAGATTGTCCCTTTCACTGAGCTAGAGTTCACTTAGAGACTAAGTTGCTAGGCCAGAGGGGCATTATGGAATAGTGTAGAGTCTCAGCTGGAGTGAACAAGATACGCTGCCATCACCACTACCACCTGGGTCATATCCAGCCAGAGGAGCAAGATTGAATCTAGGCCCAGGAGAGCATGCAGGAAAAATACAGACCACCTCCCCAGTACTTAAGGAGAGCCCCTGCTATTCCCTTACTCTTGGTGAGGAAAGGGGCTGGGCTGGGGCTGAATCTCTAATCAAGTCCTCTCCATAGCCAAAAAAACCGCTTGAACCCGAAGTTTACTTGGGCACGATTTTCCTGTAATTCTAGTCAGTGAATAAAGAAGCATCCAGAGCGTGGAGTGGTCAAGTAAATACAAGTCCTATTGATTTACAAATGTTGACACAACTGGTCACAGGTATGTAGTGGCCTAAAAATTAAGTGCACTTTTTTTACGTTTAGCTACTAAGTACTTAGAATTTCTATGAATGCACTGTCAAATATGTAACATTATAAATTTAACACAGTGAAAAGTGTTTATAAGAATTGTATGCCTTCTGAGTTCACAGACTCTCTGTTTATTTTTTTGAGACAGAGTCTTGCTCTGTCACTCAGGCTGGAGTGCAGTAGTGCGATCTTGGCTCACTGCAACCTCCGCCTTCTGGGCTCAAGTAATTCTCCTGCCTCAGCCTCCCGAGTAGCTGAGATTACAGGTGCCCACCACCATACCCAGCCAATTTTTGTACTTTTAGTAGAGACGGGGTTTCACCACGTTGGTCAGGCTGTTCTCGAACTCCTGATCTCAGGTGATCCGCGCACCTCAGCCTCCCAAAGTGCTGGGATTACAGGCATGAGCCACCACGCCCAGCCCCGAAACAGAATTTTAAACACACAGATGATGGCACATTCCTTCCTTCTTAACTGTATCTTGGCTCTTTCATATAGATCTTTCAAAGCAGAAATTAAACCTCTGGGGAAATGTTGTTTCTAATATAAAAACACAGGATGATATGCAGGAGAACTGGGAAGGCTACAGGACTGAAGTCTTCCTGTACAGGAGAGGCTTGGGGAGGAGGCAGCAGTTCCATACTCTCACTGGTCAGGTGACACCCATGCGTCAGGGGAGCAACCAGATTGAAACTCAGGTCAGTTGGGATTCCCAGTGGTCTGCAGGTTCTCCAGTGTACTTTATTTTTACTTCACTTGCTGTTTCTTTATGTAATTGACCCATCAATGAAACTTACTAAACTTACTTACTAAACTTTTCTTTCTTTCTTAGTATGCCTGTGTGTGTGTGTGTGCTGTGACTTTAGAAAAAATTTTAACAATGTCAGAGAGAAGACACACAGCTGCCGTTTCAAACACTGGAAATAATTGTTTCATAGTAGTAGTGGAAACAAGAATATAACTTTAAGGAACAAAACTATTTTATTTTGAGACGAGGTCTTGCTCTGTTGCCCAAGCTGGAGTGTGTGGCACGATCATGGCTCACTGCAGCCTCGACCTTGTAGGCTCAAGTGATCCTCTCACCTCAGCCTCCCCAAGTGCTGTTACAGGCATGAGCCACCATGCCCAGCCGGAACAATCTTTTAAATTCAACAATTATACATTTTTTGATTTTAAAAACTGCCTTATTGAGGCATAATTCACATGCCATATAATTTACCCACTTAAAGTACACAAATCTACTTCTCTACAAAGTTCACAGAAAAAATAAAGTATACAAGTCGATGGCTTTTAATAAATTGAGAGGGTCGTGCAGCATCACCACAACCTAGTTTTAGAAAATTCCTCTCCCCTAGCCTGGGAGAACCCTCTCCTACCAAAACAAACACACACACACACACACACACACACACACACACACACACACACAAATTAGCTGAGCGTGGTGGTGCGTGCTGGTGGTCCCAGCTACTTGGGAGGCTGAGGGCAGGAGGATTGCTTTAGCCCAGGAGGCAGAAGATGCAGTGAGCCAAGATCGTGCCACTGCACTCCCAGCCTGGGTGACAGAGACAGACTGTCTAAAAAAAAAAGAAGAAAAAAATTATCTTCTCCCAAAAAGAAACCTCACTGGAAACAATTGGAACCCATTAGCAATTACTTCCCATTTCACCTTATACCACCACTTCACCCCTACCCTAGGCAACTGTTACTCCACTTTCTGTCTCTGTAGTTTGCCAACTCCAGACATTTCATATACATTGACTCATGTAATATGAAGTTTCTTCAGGCCGGCTTCTTTCACTTAGCATTATGTTTTCACGATAATGTTTTAGCATGCATCAGTACTTCATTCCTTTTTAGGGCTGAATAATATTCCATTGTACTCATATACTATACCACAATTTGTTTATCTTCTCATTAGCTGATGAGTATGTGGACTGTTTCTGTTTTTGAGGTATTCTGAATAATGCTGCTATGAACAAGTATATACCTAGGAGTGAAACTAATGGGTCATATGGTAAATATGTGTTCATATTTTGAGGAACTGCCAGATGGCTTTCTAAAGTGACTACACCATTTTACATTCCCAGCAGCCTGTCTTTTTTTAATTATAGTTTTCTGAGTGGGTATGAAGTAGAATCTTACTGTAGTTTCAATTTGCATTTCCCTAATTACTGATGATGTTCTGCATCCCTTCATATGCTTACAGGCTTACACGTTCATGGCAAACAGATTTTTAGCAAAGGTACCAGGGTTATTCAATGGGGGAAATTTTAGTCTTTCTAACAAGTATTGCTGGAACAATTGGAAGCCATATGCCAAAAAATGAACCTCAACTGTTACATCATAAGTAATGGGTCATAAAACTAAAAATAAGAGCTAATGCTCTAAAATGTAGGAAACATAAAAGAAGATCTTTGCGACCTTGCATTCAGCAAAGACTTCTTAAGACACAAAAAACATGAAGCGTAAAAGAAAAAATTGGAAAATTGGACCTTATCAAAGTGGAAAAGTTTTGTTCTTCCAAAAAAAAACTATTAAGAAAATGAAAAGCTGGCCAAGTGTGGTGGCTCACGCCTGTAATCCTAGCACTTTGGGAGGCCCAGGCCAGTGGGTAGCTTGACCTCAGGAGTTTGAGACCAGCCTAGGCAACATGGTAAAACTCCGTCTCTACAACAAATACAAAAATTAGCTGAGTGTGGTGGCTCATGCCTGTAGTCCCAGTTGCCCAAGAGGCTGAGGTGGGAGAATTGCTTGAGCCCAGGAGACGCAGGGCGCAGTGAGCCGAGATCGTGCCACTGCACTCCAGCCTGGGTGACAGAGTGAGACCCTGTCTGAAAAAAAAAAAAAAAGAAAAAGAAAAAGAAAGAAAGAAAGAAAAGAAAAGGAAAAAAAAAAGGCAAACCACAGACTGGGAGAAAATATGTGTAGAATGTATACCTACTATAGAGCTTATATCCAGAATCTATACATATGGAACTCTTACAACTTAAAAAGAAGACAAAAAACCTAATTTAAAAATGGGCAAAAGTCCAGAGTGCAGCCTCTGCCCGGCCGCCACCCCGTCTGGGAAGTGAGGAGCGTCTCTGCCTGGCCGCCCATCGTCTGGGATGTGAGGAGCCCCTCTGCCTGGCTGCCCAGTCTGGAAAGTGAGGAGCGTCTCTTCCCGGCCGCCATCCCATCTAGGAAGTGAGGAGCGTCTCTGCCCGGCCGCCCATCGTCTGAGATGTGGGGAGCGCCTCCGCCCCGCCGCCCCGTCTGGGATGTGAGGAGCGCCTCTTCCCGGCCGCGACGCCGTCTGGGAGGTGAGGAGCGTCTCTGCCCAGCCGCCCCATCTGAGAAGGGAGGAGACCCTCCGCCCGGCAGCCACCCCGTCTGGGAAGTGAGGAGCGTCTCCGCCCGGCAGCTGCCCCGTCCGGGAGGGAGGTGGGGGTCAGCCCCCTGCCCGGCCAGCCGCCCCGTCCGGGACGTGAGGGGCGCCTCTGCCCGGCCGCCCCTACTGGGAAGTGAGGAGCCCCTCTGCCCGGCCACCACCCCGTCTGGGAGGTGTACCCAACAGCTCATTGAGAACGGGCCATGATGACAATGGCGGTTTTGTGGAATAGAAAGCGGGGAAAGGTGGGGAAAAGATTGAGAAATTGGATGGTTGCCGTGTCTGTGTGGAAAGAAGTAGACATGGGAGACTTTTCATTTTGTTCTTTACTAAGAAAAATTCTTCTGCCTTGGGATCCTGTTGATCTGTGACCTTACCCCCAACCCTGTGCTCTCTGAAACATGTGCTGTATCCACTCAGGGTTAAATAGATTAAGGGCGGTGCAAGATGTGCTTTGTTAAACAGATGCTTGAAGGCAGCATGCTCGTTGAGAGTCATCACCACTCCCTAATCTCAAGTACCCAGGGACACAAACACTGCGGAAGGCCGCAGGGTCCTCTGCCTAGGAAAATCAGAGACCTTTGTTCACTTGTTTATCTGCTGACCTTCCCTCCACTATTGTCCCATGACCCTGCCAAATCCCCCTCTGTGAGAAACACCCAAGAATGATCAATAAAAATAAAAATTAAAAAAAAAAAAATGGGCAAAAGATTTGGATACCTCTAGCATTGGGAGATATACCTAATGCTAGATGACGAGTTAGTGGGTGCAGTGCACCAGCATGGCACATGTATACATATGTAACTAACCTGCACAATGTGCACATGTACCCTAAAACTTTAAGTATAATTAAAAAAAAAAAAGATTTGGACACCTCACCAATATGGATATATAAATGGCCAATAAGTACATGAAAAGGTGCATGACATGAATAGTCATTAGGTAAATGCAAATTAAAACTACAATGTAACACCTGTATACACCCACTAGAATGGCTACACTTATAAAGACTGACAATGTTGACAGGAATGCGGAGCAACGGGAACTCTCACACATCGTTAGTAGGAATGCAAAATGGTACAGCCGCTTTGGAAAGCAGTTGGGCCACTTTTAAAGCTAAACATATGCTTATAATATGACCTAGCAATTCTATTTTTAGGTATTTACTCAAGAAAAATAAAATACTATCACATTTGGGATTTTTAAGAAAAGAAAAAGAAATAATAAAAAAATTTTAAAGGGAAATGAAAAAATACGTTCACACAAAATTCTTGACCCAAATGTTTATAGCTACTTTGTTCATAATAGCCAAATTGGAAATAACACAAATGTCCCTCAACTGTTCAACCACTCACAGTGTGTCCGTGCAATGGAATACTATTGAGCAATAAAAGGAACAGATTGTGGACACAGGCAAGAACATGGACAAATCTCAAAAGCATTGTGGTATGTGAAAGAAGCAAGTATATGCCTAGCAGACTAAATACTAATGATTCCATTTATATCCAAATACTATATGATTCTATTTATATGACATTCTGGAAAAGGCAAAACAGAAAGCAGCTCAGAGGTTTCCAGGGGTCAGAGGCAGGGTATAGGATTGGCTGCAAAGAAGTACAAGGGAAGTTTTCAGGGTGATGGGGGATATTCTGTGGTCTTTATCATGATTGTGGCAGTCATTATATGACTGTAAACATTTGTCAGAGCTCAGTAAGCCATACTTTTTAAATTATTGAATTTTATTGTATGTAAGTTATATCTCAAAACTAATTTATTTTTATTTTTTAAAATTAGAGATGGGGTCTTGCTATGTTGCCCAGGCTGGTCTTGAACTCCTGGCCTCAAACAATCCTCTGGGCTCAGCCTCCCAAAGTGCTAGGATTATAAGTGTGAGCCACTGAATCGGGGCTGAAAACTTAAGTTTTTTAAAGGTTGCTTGCTACAAAGTGCAGTTTCAAGACAAGTGTCTTACTGCTTTTTCTGGACCTATTACTACCCCAAATCTCTTGTACTAGAGCTTCAAGCTTTCACCACCATTAATGTTTATATTGTCTTGATTTACTTTAATTCTACTAATTTTTCACTTAAAATAAGGATTTTTTTTTTTTTTTGGAAACAGAATCTCGCTCTGTCACCCAGTGCAGTGGTGCTATCTCGGCTCACTGCAACCTCCATCTCCCAGGTTCAAGCCATTCTCCTGCCTCAGCTTCCCAAGTAGCTGGGATTACAGGTGCGCACCACCAGCCTGGCTAATTTTTGTTGTGTGTGTGGTTTTTTTTTTTTTTTTTTTTTGAGACAGAGTCTCACTCTGTCACCCAGGCTGGAGTGCAGTGGTGCGATCTCAGTTTACTGCAAGCTCTGCCTCCCGGGTTCACGCCATTCTTCTGCCTCAGCCTCCCGAGTAGCTGGGACTACAGGCGCCCGCCAGCATGCCCAGCTAATTTTTGAATCTTTAGTAGAGACGGGGTTTCACCGTGTTAGCCAGGATGGTCTTGATCTCCTGACCTCATGATCCGCCCGCCTTGGCCTCCCAAAGTGCTGGGATTACAGGCATCAGCCACCGCACCCGGCCTTTTTCTTTTTTCTTTTTTTTCGAGATGGAGTTTCACTTTTGTTGCCCAGGCTGGAGTGCAATGGTGCGATCTCAGCTCACTGTAACCTCCACCTCCCAGGTTCAAGCGATTCTCCTGCCTCAGCCTTCCAAGTAGCTGGGATTACAGGCGCGCACCACCATGCCTGGCTAATTTTTTGTATTTTTAGTAGAGATGGGGTTTCAGCACGTTGGCCAGGCTGGTCTCGAACTCCTGACCTCAAGTGATCCACCCACCTCGGTCTCCCAAAGGGCTGGGATTACAGGTGTGAGCCACCAAATTTTCATATTTTTATTAGAGACGGTCTCATCATGTTGACCATGCTGATCTCGAACTCCTGACCTCAAATGATCCACCCGCCTCGGTCTCCAAAAGTGCTGGGATTATAGATGTGAGCCGCCATGCCCGGCCTAAAATAAGGATTTTTAAAATTAGGCTTCACAACTTAAATTAATACTTTTTCCATCTTTTCTTTGTCTCGTTTGAAGTTATGATGTTAGAAATAGTAATACAGGCCGGGTGTGGTTGCTCACGCCTGTAATCCCAGCACTTTTGGAGGCCTAGGTGGGTGGATCACCTGAGGTCAGGAGTTTGAGACCAGCCTGGCCAACATGATGAAACCCTGTCTCTACTAAAAATACAAAAATTAGCCAGGCGTGGTGGTGCACACCTGTAATCCCAGCTACTCAGGAGGCTGAGGCAGGAGAATTGCTTGAACCTGGGAGGCGAAGGTTGCAATGAGCTGAGACCACGCCATTGTACTCCAGCCTGGGTGACAAGAGTGAAACTCCGTCTCAAAAAAAAAGAAATAATAATACAAGCTGGGCATGGTGGCACATGCCTGTAGTCCCAGCTACTCAGGAGGCTGAGGCTGGAGGATGACTTAAGCCCAGGAGTTTGAGACTAGCCAGAGTTTGAACTGGGCATGTGTTCAACAGAAACACCTTGACTGGTTTCTCAGCAGACACAGTCCCCCCAGAGTTAACAGTCACTCAAAACAAGGGCCAATAACCTCTTTCCCCAGTGTTCCACCATCAGTTCTCTATTCATCACGGTGGTAGGAGAAGTGACGGAAGAATGTATCTTCCATAACATATCATAGAGTATCTTCGGTTTGAAAACAAACAACATCTAAAATTTTTAAAATAAATGACAGGTATATATATTCAGATTTTTTTCATCTAAAATTTATAAACTGAGAATGCATAAACCAAGTGATGGGTGTAATTCAATTAGAGAAAAATTTTATGATTGAGTCATTTCTCTGCCCAAGGTAGTATCAACTTGCCAAATGCAAAAGAACCTGCTGTAAAGCAGCTTTGTGAAATCTATGATGTGAGAGATGACTTAGCTTCAACAAAGCAGCATCAGCCATCATAGTATGTTAATGCTGTCAATTTAACTTTATTACTTGTAATTTGTTTTGTATTTAATACGTAGGTTTGTTTTGCTCTTATAGTTGCATAAGAGCTATAAGCATAAGAAATTTACACCTGGCCGGGCGCGGTGGCTCACGCCTGTAATCCCAGCACTTTGAGAGGCTGAGGTGGGCGGATCACGGGGTGAGGAGTTTGAAACCAGCCTGGCCAACATGGTGAAACCCCGTCTCTACTAAAAATACAAAAATTAGCTGGGCGTGGTGGCGGGCGCCTGTAATCCCAGCTACTCAGGAGGCTGAGGCAGGAGAATCGTTTGAACCCTAGAGGCAGAGGTTGCAGTGAGCCAAGATTGCGCCACTGCACTCCAGCCTGGGCGACAGGGCAAGACTCCATCTCAAAAAAAAAAAAAAAGAAAAGAAATTTACACCTGATATTGGGTTTAGACATATTTAAGCAGCATTATGCTAAAAACAATTTTAGTATAATAATTGTAATCGATCTTGAAAGTGTAATAATTTTTTCTTTTAGAAGGTGTACAGTGCTCATAGCCTTGATACGGTGGCTCACTCCTGTAATCCTAGCACTTTGGGAGACCAAGGCAGGCAGATCGCTTGACTTCAGGAGTTTGAGACCGACCTAGACAACATGGCAAAAACCCTATCTCTACAAAAATACAAAAATTAGCCAGGCATTTAATTTCAGCTACTCAAGAGGCTGAGAGGTGGGAGGATCACTAGAGTCCAGGAGGTTGAGGTTGCAGTGAGCCGAGATCACACCACTGCGCTCCAGCCTGGGTGACAGAATGAGACCATGTCTCAAAAAAAAAAAAAAAAAAGAAATAAAGAAAGAAAGAAATATACAATACTCAGCCCAGTATGGTGTCTCACACCTGTAATCTCAGCACTCTGAGAGGCTGAGACTGGAGGATCGCTTGAGCCCAGGAGTTCAAGGCTGCAGTGAGCTATGACTGTGCCACTGTATTCCAACCTGGACAAGACAAGGAGACCCTGTCGGAGAAGGAGGAGGAGAAGGAGGAGGAGGAGGAGGAGGAAGAAGGAGGAGGAGGAGGAGACACAATACTCCAGCTTGAGTTCATAGACTTGTAGATAGTGTCCTAAAAATTCTCTTGAGGGGCCTGTAGGATTTCGAGACCAGGACTTGGTCAATGGTGATACTGGGAAATGTGGAGAAGGTAGAAAGGTTAGAACTCAGTTTGCTGCAGAAGCAGTTATTCTGATGGAGCACAAGGATTTTTCAGTCTAAATTCTAAGGTAGCCAGGTAGAAAAGCTAGTGAAATTATCAGTAAGAGATATTGGAGTGGAAAATGGAGCCCAGGTTTCTGGCCTCAGTGACTGGGTGGATCCCGATTTCATAATCCAGGTGGGGAGCACAAGACGGTGAGCAAGTTTGACTACTCAGACCTTATCCGCCTTGACTGGCTCTGACTAGCCGTTTGGGTGACATGACCACCAGTTCTCCAAATAGCACGTCGCTTCTGGTATTAGTCAGGATTCTTGCTGGCATGTGACAGAACCCACCGGAGAGGCCGGGCTGTTTGGAAAAGGCTGTTTGCCTTCCTCTTACCAGAGTAAGGCAGAGGAGGCACTGGGCAGAACTCTTTCTCCTTCTCCTAAATGTCTTACTCTTAGATTTGCTCTTTTTAAAATAACATACTCTAATTTTCTGCTTGGTGTTCCTTGTCTTTTATAGAGAGGTGTTATATGTAGGGTTCTGAGAATTTTAAATTTTCCCTTCCTGAATTGCTCTGTAAAGGTTCAGCGCCCCCTAGCGACACAATCCACAATTTTCCTAGGTGGGCCGATTGATGATTGATTGATTGATTGATTGATTTTCTTTTTTTTAGAGGGAGTCTCGCTCTGTCGCCCAGGTTGGAGTGCAGTGGTGCGATCTCGGTTCACCGCAACCTCTGCCTCCCGGGTTCAAGAAATTCTCCCGCCTCAGCCTCCCCAGTAGCTGGGATTACAGACGCCCGCCACCACACCCAGCTGATTGTTGCATTTTTAATAGAGACGGGGGTTTTACCATGTTGACCAGGCTGGTCTCGAACTCCTGACCTCAGGTGATCCACCCACCTCGGCCTCCCAAAATGCTGGGATTACAGGCGTCAGCCACCGCGCCCCGCCCAGAGATTTTGATATCCTTAATAATCAATTAACTTGACTAGTCACCACCTGAACTTTTTCCATTTTTTTCTTTTCTATGTAAGTTGGGCAATCATACATATCTTTTATCAACTGTATTTCTTGTTAATAAACACTTTATGGCTCTAAGGAACCATTATTATTTCAGTATTCAAATTTAAAATTTTTTTGCCCAAGTAGATTTCTTTACAATCAATCTATTTTAAATTTCCAGGGCTGAGCACATTGGCTCATGCCTGTAATCCCAGCACTTTGGGAGGACGAGGCGGGCAGATAACTTGAGACCAGGAGTTCAAAACCAGCCTGGCCAACATGGTGAAACCCCATCTCTTTTTTTTTTTTTTTTTTTTGGGTTTTTCAAATGTTTATTTTATGTACAAAGAATGATCATGGTTTTTCATTGAGTAGATGCCTTGGATAACCCTTTGAAGGAAGATCATTTAGTCCAACTTAATGAAACCGACATCCTTCGCGTACTGACGGAAACACTGGCGGCGCATATTGAGGCCATATTTCCGGATCAGACCGTGCCGGTTTGAGCAGACGCGACAAGAGCGAGAACCCTGGCCGAATTTTCGCGCGTGGCTCCAGTACAGCTGCTGGTGACCCATCTTGCTCTCAGGAGTGCAACGAGGTAAAAGGGGAACCCCGTCTCTTCTAAACATACAAAAATTCCCCGGGCGTGGTGGCTCACGCCTGTAATCCCAGCTACTCAGGCGGCTGAGGCAGGACAATCGCTTGAATCCAGGAGGCAGAGGTTGCAGCGAGCCAAGATCGCGCCACTGCACACCAGCCTAGGCTACAAAGCGAGACTCTGTCTCAAAAAAAGAAAAAAATAATTTCAAAAGTTTAAAAATTATTTTCCAAAAAATGTTATTTCCCAGGGTCATGGCATCCTTGTTTATGTTTATGAAACATCATTCATCTCTACTATCCCACTGTGTATTCCCATTGTCTCTTCCCATCATTGACTGTGGCCACTTCCCTCAAAGCTACGTCTTCTGAGACCAGTGGTTCATAACCCTGGTTGCAAATCAGATTCACCTTTGTTGATCTGAAAACTATCTAGGCCGGGCACAGTGGCTTACTGCCTGTAATCCCAACACTTTGGGAGGCTGAGGCTGGTGGATCACTTGAGGTCAGGAGTTCGAGACCAGCCTGGCCAGCATGGTGAAACCCCGTTGTCTGTACTAAAAGTAAAAAAATTAGCCAGGCCTGGTGGCTGGCGCCTGTAATCCCAGCTACTCAAGAGGCTGAGGGAGGTGAAACACTTGAACCAGGAAGCAGAGGTTGCAGTGAGCCAAGATCATGCCACTGTGCTCCAGCCTGGGTAACAGAGCAAGACCCTGTCTCAAAAAAAAAAAAAAAAAAAAATTAAAAAATAAAAATAAAATTAAAACTATCTAGATGTCTGGATCCTATCTGTCAAAAAACTGATTCAATACCAATTACAGAATGAGTTTAATAGGTTACAGTATCATTTAGCATGTTGCAAATCAACTTATCCTTCCAGAATACTAACAAAATCTGTATGAAATATTTTTTAAAATGAATATGTGCACTTATCAGAATGGTTAATATAAAAAATAGTGACAATACTAAATGCTGGTGAGTATGTGGAGAAACTGAGTCACTCCTACATTGGTGGTGGGAACGCACAGTGGTACAGCTACTCTGGAAAACAGTTTGGCAGTTTCTTACAAAACTAACCATGCTACTACCGTATTACCCATATTATCTGGCAATTGCACTCCTGGGCATTTATTCCAGAAAAATATTGGACACATATTTATAGCAGCTTTATTTGTGATAGCTCAAAACTGGAATAAGCCAGATTCCTTCCACAGGTAAATGGTTAAACAAATTACAGTACACCCATACTATAGAATACTACTCAGAATTAAAAGAATCAAACTTAGCTTAGCTTTTTGTTTGTTTGAGACAGAGTCTCACTCTGTTGCCCAGACTGGAGTGCAGTGGCATGATCTTGGCTCACTGCAACCTCTGCCTCCTGGGTTCAAGCGATTCTCCTGCCTTAGCCTCCTGAGTAGCTGGGATTACAGGCGCGTGCCACCATGCCGGGCTAATTCTTTGTATTTTTAGTAGAGACGGGGTTTCACCGTGTTAGCCAGGATGGTATAGATCTCCTTGACCTCGTGATCCTCCCGCCTCGTCCTCCCAAAGTGCTGGGATTACAGGCGTGAGCCACTGCACTCAGCCTATAATATCCTCTTAGCTTTTTGTCATCTGTTTACATGTATAATGATGTCCCCTTCTTCAATCCTGTTATTGGTTATCTGTGACTTCTCTTATTTATTAATCTTGTCAGGAGTTTTTCAGTATCAATAACCTTTTCAAAGAACCATTTAAAAATTGTTTATTTATTTATTTGGAGAGATGATCTCACCCAATTGCCAAGGCTGAAGTGCAGTGGCACAATCATAGCTCACTGCAGCCTCAGACTCCCGGGCTCAAGTGATCCTCCTACTTCAGCCTCTCAGGTAGCTGGGACTACAGGTGCACACTGCCTCACCTGGCTAATTTTTAATTTTTTGCAGAGATGGGATCTCCCTACGTTGCCCAGACTGGTCTCAAACTCTTGGCCTCAAGTGATCCTCCAACCTCAGCCTCCCAAACTGCTGGGATTACAGGCTCAACCCACCATGCCTCGCCTAAATTTATTTTTTAATGACAAAAAATATATATATTTATGGTACATAACATGATGTTTTGAAATATGTTTACATGTGGAGTGGCCAAATCAAGCTTGCTACCATATACATTATCTCACAAAAAAAGTCTGCTTTTAAAAAAATGCAACCCTCAAGTGGAACCAGAAAAGACATTTTATTTCTTTAGATATGTGGTCTTGGTAGGTTGCCCATGCCAAGCTCAAGTGATCCTCCTGCCTCAGCCTCCCAAGTAGTTGATACCACAGGCACACGCCACCATGCCCAGCTTCTTACCATTTTTTTTTTTGCGATGAATTGTTGCGGGAACTCAGGGACCCTGAACGGAGGGACCAGCTGAAGCCACGGCAGAAGAACATAAATTGTGAGGATTTCATGGACATTTATTAGTTCCCCAAATTAATACTTTTATAATTTCTTACGCCTGTCTTTACTGCAGTCTCTGAACATAAATTGTGAAGATTTCATGGACATGTATCACTTCCCCAGTCAAGACTCATAATTTCCTGTGCCTGTTTGTACTTTAATCTCTTAATCCCGTCATCTTCGTAAACTGAGGATGTATGTCACCTCAGGACCCTGTGATGATTGCGTTAACTGCACAAATTGTTTGTAAAACGTGTGTTTGAACAATATGAAATCTGGGCACCCTGAAAAAGAACAGGATAACAGCGATGTTCAGGGAACAAGGGAGATAACCATAAGGTCTGACTGCCTGCGGGGCCGGGCAGAACAGCGTCATATCTTTCTTATTGCAGAAAACGAGTAGGAGAAATATGGCTGCATTCTTTTCCCAGCAAGGAATCACCCTGGGAAGGGAACGCATTCCCGGTGGGGGGCATGGACGGCCGCTCTGGGGCTGTCTGCCTCATGCGGTTGAAGATAAGGGATGAAATAACGCCCTGCTCTCCTGCGGCGCCCCCAGGCTTGCTAGGATTAGGAAATTCCAGCCTGGCGAATTGTAGTCAGACCAGTTCTCTGCTCTTGAACCCTGTTTCCTGTTAAGATATTTATCAATGACAACGCGTGCACAGTGGGACGTGAAACCTCATCAGTAATTCTAATTTCGCCCTGGCCTTGTGAGCTTGCTCTGCCCTTATGCCCTTGTGATCTTTTATTGCCATTTGAATGAAGCGTGTGATCTCTGTGACCCACTCCCTATTCATACCCCCTCCCCTTTTGAAATTCCTAATAAAAACCTGCTGGTTTTGCGGCTCAGGTGGGTATCACAGAACCTGCCGACACGTGATGTCACCCCCGGAGGCCCAGCTGTAAAATTTCTCTCTCTTGTACTCTTTCTCTTTTTTTCTCAGACCAGCTGACACTTAGGGAAAATAGAAAAGAACCTACGTTGAAATATTGGGGGCTGGTTCCCCCAATAATGAACACACTTAAGAACTATTCTCTTAGCAAATTTCAAGTATACAATACAGTATTATTAACTATAATCACTGTGCTGTGTATTAGATCTCCAGAACTTATTCACGTTATATTGAAAGTTTGTACCCTTTGGCCAACATCTCCCATCTCCCCAGCCTCCTAACCAACCCTGGCAACCAACATTCTACTCTCTGTCCCTGCTTCTAGAAGTTTCACTTTTTTCAATTCCTCATATAAGTGAGATCATGCAGTACTTGTCTTCCTATGCCTGACTTATTTCTCATAGCATAATGTCGTCCAGGATCTTACATCTTGTTGCAAATGACAGAATTTCCTTCTTTTTAAAGGCTGAATAGTATTCCATTGTGTATATACACCATATTGCTTATTTACTTATTTTTAATGTCATCCATGATGAGCATGTAGCACATTTTTTCAGCATATTGTTTTTCAAATTAATTTTTTTTTTGTTTTGTAGAGATGAGGTCTCACTATGTTGCCTAGCCTGGTTTCAAACTCCTGGGCACAAGTGATCCTCTTGCCTCAGCCTTCCAAAATGCTGGGATTATAGGCATGAGCCACCATGCCTAGCATACCACATTGTTGATGGCTCCTTAAGTTGATTCCATATCTTGGCTATTATGAATAACGCTGCAATTAATGTGGGAGTGTAGGTGTCCCTTCAACACACTGAGTTCATTTCCTCCAGATATGCACCTAGTATATATCATTGCTGGATCATATGGTAGTCCTATTTTTAATTTTTTCAGAAACCTCCATACTGTTTTTCATAATGGCCGTAATAATTTACATTCCCATCAATAGTGCACAAGGGTCAAAGAACTAATATTTGCCTTTGATAATCCTTTCTATTATTTATTTCTTTCTATTTCATGAATTCCTGCTCTAATCTTTATTATTTCCTTCATTCTAATAACTTTAGGTTTAATTTGCTCTTTTTCTAACACCTTGAGATGAACACTTATCTCACGGATATGTCCAGCTTTTATTTTGCATTTGAGACAAAATTTCTTCAAAGTACAGTTTTAGCTACCTCCTTATTGTCTTATGTCACATTTTCATTGTTTTTCAATGAAACATTTAAAATTTTCATTGTATTTTCTTCTTTGAGACATGAATAATTTAGAAACATGGTAAAACACTGAAACTTTCTTCATGATGTTGGTAACAAGAGAATAGAATGAAGCCTATAATCCCAGCACTTTGGGAGGCTGAGGCAGGCAGATGGCCTGAGGTCAGGAGTTTGAGAATAGAATGAAATTCCCTTGATTAATTCTATTCAACATTCTGTTGAAGGTGTAGACATTACAACAAGACAAGAAAAAGAAATGAAAGACATAAGAATTGGAAAGGAAGAACTAAAACTGTCATTCACAGACAACATGATTGTGTTTGCAGAACAAGGACGGATGCGGTGACTCACGCCTGTAATTCCAGCACTTTGGGAGGAAAAGGTGGGTGGATCACCTGAGGTCAGGAGTTTGAGACAAGCCTGGCCAACATGGTGCAACCCTGTCTCTACTAAAAATACAAAAATTAGTCAGGTGTGGTGGCATGTGCCGGTAGTACCAGCTACTCAGGAGGCTGAGGCAGGAGAGCCACTTGAACCCAGGAGGTGGAGGTTGCAGTGAGCTGAGATCACGCCACTGCACTCCAGCCTGGGTGACAGAGCAAGACGAAAGAAAAGAAAGGCGGGCAGGCGGGCAGGCGGGCAGGCGGGCGGGCAGGCGGGCGGGTGGGCGGGCAGGCAGGCAGGCGGGCGGGCGGGCATCTACAGATGAACGACTAAGTGAAAAATGGGTTTAGTAAGGTTGCTGAATAAAAAGGTAAATATAGAAAAATTGGTCGTATTTATAACAGCAATAAGAAAAACATTAAACACTACTTACAACAGCATCAAGAAACATCAAATACCTAGTAATAAATCTAATGGAAAACATGCAAAAACTCTACAAAGGAAACTACAAAACACGACCGAGGAAAATTAAAGAGAATCTAAATAAAGATACGTATCATATTCATGAATTAGAAGGCTAAATATTATGAAGATGTCAATGTAATTCTACTCAATATCCCAGCTCATAGCGTTCTAAAAATTAGCAAGCTTATTGAAAATTTTATATGAAAATGCAAATGGCCCAGAATACCCCAGATAATCTTGAAGAGCATAGCTGGAGGACTCACACTGTATGTTATTAAGACTTTTTAATGAAGCCAAAATAATTAAGGTTGAGTGTGATTTGGGCACAAGAATAAATAAGCAGACCAATGGAACAGAATAGAGGATAGAAATAGATGCTTGCATGTATGCAAACTTGATTAATGACAAAAGTCCACTGCAGAGCAGTGAGGAAACTCTTTATAATAAATGGGATTGAGTCAGTTGTATATCCATATGGAGAAGAAAAGAATCTTGACCTTCTTCACATTAATCCAAAGGTCTAAATTTTAGGCATATTACAGATATAAATGTAATAGGTAAAGTGGTGAAGCTTCTAAAAGGAAAAAAATATTTTCATGACCTTGGGGTAGGAAAAATTTCATATATAAGACATCAAAATGAAAACATGATAAATTGGACTACTTGAAAATTAAGAACATTAGTTCATGAAAACACACCATCAAGATGATGAAAAGAAAGCCACGGAGTGGACCGGGTGCGGTGGCTCAAGCCTGTAATCCCAGCACTTTGGGAGGCCGAGGCAGGCGAATCATGAGGTCAAGAGATCGAGACCATCCTGCCCAACATGGTGAAACCCCGTCTCTACTAGAAATACAAAAATTAGCTGGGCTTGGTGGCATGTGCCTGTAGTCCCAGCTATTCAGGAGGCTAAGGCAGGAGAATCACTTGAACCCGGGAGGCAGAGGTTGCAGTGAGCCGAGATCGTGCCATTGCACTCCAGCCTGGGCGACACAGAGAGACTACATCTCACAAAAAAAAAAAAAAAAAAAAAGATACAATGCACTTTGGGTATTCAGGGGAAAGGGTGGGAAGGGGGCGAGGGATAAAAGACCACACGTTGGGTACCGTGTACACTGCTCGAGTGATGGCTGCACCAAATCTCAGAAATCACCACTGAAGAACTTATGAAACCAAACACCACCTGTTCCCCAAAAACCTATTGAAATAAATAAAAAGTAAGTAAAATATAAAAATGGTAAATTTTGTTATGTATATTTTTGCACAATTTAAACAAACTTTTCTGGCTCACACCTGTAATCCCAGCACTTTGGGAGGCCAAGGCGGGAGGACCACTTGAGCCCAGGAGTTGGAGACCAGCCTGGGCAACGTAGCAAGACTATGTCTTAATTAATTAATTAATTAATTAATTTATGGAGACAGAGTCTCGCCCTGTCACCCAGGCTGGAGTGCAATGGCACGATCTTGGCTCACTACAACCTCTGCCTTCTGGGTTCAAGCGATTCTCCTGCCTCAGCCTCCCGAGTAGCTGGGATTACAGGTGCGCGCCACCACGCCCGGCTAATTTGTTGTATCTTTAGTAGAGATGGGGGTTTCACCATGTTGGCCAGGCTGGTTTCGAACTCCTGACCTCGTGATCCGCCAGCCTCAGCCTCCCAAAGTGCTGGGATTACAGGCGTGAGCCACCGTGCCCGGCCTCAGAAGCTCCACAGTGGGCCTCTTCTTATATTTCATGGGCCAGAATTCTGCCACCTGTCCGTTCCTAAACCAATGATAACGGCAATAATAATAAAATTGCTGTGATTGATTTATTCTAAGACTCACCCCCAACTCTCACACTGGGAAGGGGCTCAGCTTCCCCTGAAGCACGTGGCTGCCCAATACTCAAACAATATCTGGATTTTGCTAAGGAGAAAAAAGTAGTGGCGGGGATCAGGGAGGACCCAGCAAGGTTTTTCTCACTGGGGCAGGGACTGATTCCCTGAGGACGCCGAAGTTCTTCCGGAGACGCACCTGAGACGGACTGACTCCCACCCCGGAGTCCCTGCGGAGTTATAAATGTCCCTTAGATCTGTCCCCTCAGCTCTCCATTCCGGGGACCAGTGTTCTGAGCTCGGCCGCCATCGCCTCACGCTCAGCGACGGGCGTGGCCGGGAGCCGCCTGCGGATGGAGGAAGCGGCCGCCAGCGCCCCCTGGAGGCTCGGGCCGGCTCCACTCCCGCGGCCCCCGCCACCGCCCAGCTCCCCGCGGAGGCGCCCAGGCCGGTCTGAGCCCGACAGGGCGGAACCACCGCGGCGGCGCTGCCCTGAGTGGAAATGCGGCCTCCGCAGCGGGAGAAGATGCTGGGAGCCGGATGGGGCCCGGAGGCGCGACACCGCAGTTCTCCGTACTTGAAGACACCCATCCAGGCCACCTTTTCAGTCGGCTGCAGGGACACGTCCTACAAGGGCGTGCTGGAGGCTGAGCTAGCAAAGCTGGGGCGAGGGCGGGACGGTGGATCATTCGCAGACACATCATCACACCAGGGTGTCCGGCACCTTACCCAAGGCCAGGAATAGCAACTCAGATGTTAAATCGTGTCAAACATCTGTGGAGAAGATGGCACCTTTTTCTTCTCCTTCTTTCTCTCTCTCTCTCTCTTTCTTTTTTTTTTTTTTTTTTTTTTTTTTTTTTTTTTTTTTTTTGAGATGGAGTCTCGCTCTGTCACCCAGGCTGGAGTACAGTGGCGCGATCTCGGCTCACTGCAACGTCCACCTCCCGGGTTCAAGTGATTCTCCTGCCTCAGCCTCCCGAGTAGCTGAGATTAGAGGCATGTGCTACCACGCCCGGCTAATTTTTGTATTTTTAGTAGAGACGGGGTTTCACCATGCTGGCCTGGCAGGTCTTGAACTCCCGACCTCAGGACATCCGCCCGCCTTGGCCTCCCAAAGTGCTGGGGTTACAGATGGGAGCCACCGCGCCTGGCTAATTTTTGTGTTTTTAGTAGAGACGGGGTTTCACCATATTGGCCAGGCTAGTTTCGAACTCCTGTACTCTAGGGATCTGCCTACTTCAGCCTCCCAAAGTGCTGGGATTACAGGCATAAGCCACTGCCCAGCCAAGATGGCACTTTTGACAACATCTGTTTGTCCAGATCAGCAATGAGTCAGCAATTGACTTCTACAGAAGTTTGGCTTTGAGATGACTGAGACAAAGACAGATAAAGGATAAGAGGATGGAGCCTGCAGATGCTCAGGAGTTGCAGAAAAACCTCAAAGTCCCTTCCGATCAGAATGGAGATATGCAAAACACAACTGAACAAGTCACAAAATGAACCTTCTTGCACTTGCTTGTTGACAAAAAAAGACAAGCCCATTGATTTTCACCCCCTCTTTCTTGTAAAGCTTTCCTGCACTGCCATGTTTTTGTTTTTCCTTCTTTCTTTTCTTTTCAAAGTTTTAATACTTTCAAGGACTTTAAAAATGATCATGTTTGGGCCAGGCGCAGTGACTCACTCCTGTAATCCCAGCACTTTGGGAGGCCAAGGTGGGTGGATCACTTGAGGTCAGGAGTTCCAGACGAGCCTGGCCAACATGGTGAAACCCCATCTGTACTAAAAATACAAAAATTAGCCAGGCGTGGTGGCGTGTGCCTGTAGTCCCAAGCTACTCAGGAGCCTGAGACAGGGGAATCGCTTGAACCTGGGAGGCAGAGGTTGCAGTGAGCCGAGATCGTGCCACTGCACTCCAGCCTGGGCCACAGAGCAAGACTCCATCTCAAAAAAAAAAAAAAAAAAAAAAAAAAAAAAAAGATCATGTTTGGATTGTTTCAGTTCTCTTATTTTTGTGAGGTGGTTTGACTGAAGGCAGGAGAAGGTAGATCTGTTTAATTTCACAGTTAAGATAAATGGTTCTAAAAATTTAGGTGTCAAATAATTTCACATTTCTTAGCTTGGAGTTGGAGACCAGCCTGGGCAACATAGCAAGACTCTGTCTCTATTTTTTTTTTTTGGAGACGGAGTCTCACACTGTTGCCCAGGCTGGAATGCAATGGCGAGATCTCAGCTCACTGCAACCTCCGCCTTCTGGGTTCAAATGATTCTCCTGCTTCAGCCTCCTGAGTAGCTGGGACTACAGGCGCCTGCCACCACGTCCGGCTAATTTTGGTATTTTCTTAGTAGAGACAGGGTTTCACCATGTTGGCCAGATGGTCTTGATTTCTTGACTTCATGATCCGCCTGCCTCGGCCTCCCAAAGTGCTGGGATTACAGGCGTGAGCCACCGAGCCTGGCCCTCTTAGTTGTTTTTTCTTAGTCCTGCTTTCACATCGAAGGGCAGAGCCTACAAAATATTGTACATTTCAAAAGACAGAAAGAAGCAGCAGTGATATCTTGTTTTCTAATTCATAGACGAGTTTAGTGTGCTTGTGGTACCTTGGGCTTTGAAAGCCTTTGTGGGATACCAATCCCTAGACATTATCTTCACTCCAGCTTTAGTCCTTCCGAGCACTCTCAGGAGTAGCACCGTTGCTATCTCTGGAAGAAATGCTGAGCATATTTATTATTATTATTATTATTTTGGAGACAGAGTCTTGCTCTGTCGCCCAGGCTGGAGTGCAGTGGCGGATCTCGGCTCATTGCAAGCTCCGTCTCCTGAGTTTAGGCGATTCTCCTGCCTTAGCCTCCCGAGGTAGCTGGGACTACAGGCACGCGCCACCACGCCCGGCTAATTTTTGTGTTTTTAGTAGAAAGAGGGTTTCACCATGTTGGCCAGGCTAGTCTTGAACTCCCGACCTCAGGTAATCTGCCTGCCTTGGCCTCCCAAAGTGCTGAGACTACAGGGGTGAGCCACGGCGCCTGGCCGCATATTTTGATTTTTAAAGCAATTATTTCTTCTCTTCTTGCTGGTGGGTGGGGCACCTTGGGTACGTAGTGTTATACTTTGGTCTAAGTATTTTGAGTTAAACTGCTTTTTTGCTAAAATGAATGGGCTGGTTTTTATCAGGTTTATTTTTCCTGCTGTTGTTACTAATGGCATTAACTTTTAGAGTCGGAAGCGGTAAGACTGATTTTTTAAAATATCCCAGAGATATGGCTTCTAATTGACCTAGAGATTTGTCGTAATTTAACTTTTTTCTCCTGCCCCTTTTCTTCAGTAAATCCAACAATAACCCAGGTGTGGTGGCTCATGTCTGTAATCCCAACACTTTGGGAGGCCAAGGCGGGTGAATCACTTGAGCCCAGGAATTGGAGACCAGCCAGGACAACATAGTAAGATGCCTGTCTGTACATAAAAATTAAAACAAAAAAAAATTAGCTGGGCGTGGTGGTGCATACCTGTAGTCCCAGCTACTTGGGAGGCTAAGGAAGGAGAATCACTTGAGCCCACGAGGTCGAGGCTGCAGTATGCCGTGATCATGCCACTGCACTCCAGCCTGGGCAACAGAGTGAGACCCTGTTTCTAAAAAAGAAAATGTTGGCCGGGTGCAGTGGCTCACGCCTGTAATCGCAGCACTTTGGGAGTCTGAAGACCAGCCTGGGCAACATGGTGAAACCTCATCTGTACAAAAAAAATTTTTAAGTCCATATAGGTTATTACCGCTAAATAAACGGAAGCAGGTGTTTTCTCTTGGACATACTGAAAATATTTAAAAGAAAGCTTAGATGGCAGCATGAGCATGAAGAACCAAGAAAGCATACTTGGAGTCAGTGCAAATGTTAGCTACCTTTCCTTTGCTTAATTCTAGTGCTCGAGTAAGAGCTATCAGCTCAGCTAATTGAGTGCTTGGACGGAGAGACACACTTTCAATGACGTCATTTAGAGTGACTACTGCATATCCTGCCTTATGGATTCCTTGTTCTACAAAAGAGCTCCCATCTGTGAAGAGGGTCCAGTGTGGGTTCTCTAGCGGTTTCCCTGAGATCTTCCCTGGCTGCATAGGTCTGTATCAGGACTTGTTCACAGTCATGTTCAGGTTCCCTAGTTTCCTTGGGGAGGAAAGTGGCTGGATTTAGGCGAGAACAATTTTTTTGTTTTTGGTTTTGTTTTTGTTTTTTTTGAGACGGAGTCTCACTCTGTCGCCAGGCTGGAGTGCAGTGGCACAATCTCAGCTCAATGCAACCTCCACCTCCTGGGTTCAAGTGATTTTCCTGCCTCAGCCTCCCGAGTAGCTGGGACTACAGGCATGCACCACCACCATGCCTGGCTAATTTTTATGTATTTAGTAGAGATGGGGTTTCACTATGTTGGCCAGGCTGATCTTGAACTCCTGACCTCATGATCCACCCACCTCGGCCCCCTAAAGTGCTGGGATTACAGGCGTGAGCCACTGCACAAGTTTTTAATTGGATGTTGGAACCCTCTAACAGCAGGGCCTGATAGTTAAGGAGTCGACTGTTTGTTAGCCAAAGGCTCCCCCTAGAGTACAGTAGTCCTGCCATGTTATGTGGGGTGTAAACAGTTAAATCATTTCCCAGGGTTAATTTGG
This sequence comes from Homo sapiens, assembly GCF_000001405.40. Taxonomy (NCBI): domain Eukaryota; kingdom Metazoa; phylum Chordata; class Mammalia; order Primates; family Hominidae; genus Homo; species Homo sapiens. The sequence continues at coordinate 196,524,664 of NC_000003.12, read as the reverse complement.
GGGCTTCTGGGACCAGTAGGGCTACTGAGGCAATGGCTCAAAGGCATGCTGGCCATCCTTTAGCCACCAAATCAAGTTCCCTACTTAGGTAACCCACTGGCTGTTGAGCTGCTCGTCAAGCTTACGTTAAAACTCCCAGGGCCATTCCCTTCCTTTCTGATACGTACAGATGGAAAGTCTTCCCTACAGGAAGGCTGAGAGCTAGTGCCTTAAGCAAGGCTCGTTTTAGCTGGTCAAAGGCCTTTCAAGCTTCAGGTTCCCAGATTAAAAGATGAGTTTTAGGCCGGGCGTGGTGGCTCACGCCTGTAATCCCAGCATTTTGGGAGGTCGAGGTGGGCAGATCACGGGGTCAGGAGATCGAGACCATCCTGGCCAACATGGTGAAACCCCGTCTCTACTAAAAATACAAAAATTAGCTGGGCGTGGTGGCGCATGCCTGTAATCCCAGCTACTCGGAGGCTGAAGCAGGAGAATTGCTTGAACCCGGGAGGTGGAGGTTGCACCACTGCACTACAGCCTGGTGACAGAGCTAGACTCCATCTAAAAAAATAAAATAAAATAAAGATGAGTTTTAGCTCCCTGAGCTTCTTTTATGAGGTTATATAACAGGTGGACTATTTCACAATACCCAGGTATCCATAGTCTACAAAATCCTGTAATGTCCCCAAATCCTCTTAGTTGCTTGAGGTTTTAGGGAGAAGGGAGGAAGAAATAGGCTGAATCATTTCTTCCCCTAATGCTCCAGTTCCCTTGGACAGCACTAAACCCAGGTACTTCACCGAGGTTTTGCAAAGCTGGGCCTTGGGTTTTGAATCCTTATATCCTCTGTTAGCTAAGAAGTTAAGAAGAGCTTCAGTGCCTTCCTGAGGAGCTTCCTTAGTTGGGGCACAGAGCAGAGTATCATCAACGTACTGCAAGACCCTAATTTGAGGATGGGAACACTCAGAGACATCTTTTGACAGTGCCTGTCCAAACAGATGAGGCCTATCTCAAAATCCCTGAGGCAGCAACGTCCATGTTAACTGGGTGGTCTGGCTGGAGGGATCTTTGAAGGCAAACAGGTATTGAGAGTCAGGATGTAACGGTATGCAGAAAAAGGCATCCTTTAAACCTAGGACTGTAAACCATTTAGTTCCCTCAGGTATTTGAGTTAACAGTGTAAAGGGATTAGGTACCATTGGATGGATTGGAACGACAGCTTCATTAATGAGGCAGAGGTCCTGAACTAGTCTCCATTCCTTATTGAGGTTTTGCACTCCTAATATTGGGGCGTTGCAGGGGCTATTACAGGGTTTGAGGAGGCCCTGCATCTTTAGGTTATCGATAATGGCTGCTAGCCCTTTCCTAGCCTCTGGATTTAGGGGATATAGTCTCTGATTAGGAAAAAAAAATGGGATCCTGACTAGGCGTGGTGGCTCACACCTGTAATCCCAGTACTTCGGGAGGCCAAGACAGGTGGATCACCTGAGGTCAGAAGCTCCAGACTGGCCTGGCCAACATGGTGAAACCCCGTCTCTACTAAAAATACAAAAATTAGCCAGGCGTGGTGGCACATGCCTATAATCCCAGCTACTCAGGAGGCTGAGGCAGGAGAATCACTTGAACTCTGGAGGCGGAGGTTGTGGGGAGCTGAGATCACCCCACTGCAGTCCAGCCTGGGTGAGAAAGCAAGACTCCATCTCAAAAAGAAAGAAAAAAAAGGAGAAAGAAAGAAAGGAAAATAAGTGGGATCCTTAAGATGAATCTGGACTGGCCTAGAGATTATAGCTCAACCTCTTCTTTCTGGAGTAGCCCACACTTCTGGATTAATGTTAGCTTCCACCAGGGGGAGACAAAGAGTTTGTCCTGGGGCTGTAAGGATGCCGGCCCCCCTGCGAGCTAGAATATCTCTACCTGATAAAGGAATGGGACTTTCAAGCATGAGTAAAAAGGCATGTGTAAATAATAGGTCCCCTCCATCTGCAGCTAGGGGTGAAGAAAAATATCGGATTAGAGTTTTTCCTGAGACACCCCTTACAGTTGTGCTATGGGAAGAGGGGAGACCTGGATTAGAGAGAAGAGAGAGCCTGCCTCCAGTATCCAGAAGGAGATCTACCTTCCTTCAATTTCCAGAAACACCTGGAGCTCCTGTGCTGTAATGGCAGTTTGAGCTGCTGGAGCAGGGGGTTGAGCCCTGGGACTCATCAGTCCTGCTGGACCATCAGTGAGACTGGTTCTGAACCTAGTGACCTCCATCTCTGGGAGCAGTTCAATCTCCAGTGGTCTCCATCACAGACTGGACAGGGTTGAGCTGGCTTCTTCTTGCTGTTTGGGCATTCCTTCTTAAAATGCCCTGACTTGCCACATCAGTAACAGCTAGTGGATGCACCATGGGGATCCTGGACTTTGCAAGCTTGCAATGCTGCCACTAGAGCCTCTGTCCTTCTCTTGTGCTTCCTCTCTTTTTCTTGGGCCTCCTCCTGATCCCTATTATCAAAGACCAAAGTGGCTATATTCAGGAGGTTTTCCTGGGTGCTATTTGGTCCTATAGATTGCTTCTGTAGTTTCCTTCTAATATCTGGAGATGCCTGTGTGATAAACTTGTCCTTCAGGATGAGCTGTCCCTCAGCTAAATCAGGGGATAAAGAGGTGTGTTTTGTTAGTGTCTCTCTCAGCCTTTCCATAAAGGCTGTGGGATTCTCATCTGGTTTTTGGTCTATCGTAGATAGTTTACAGTAATTAAGAGGTTTGGCTCTGGTTTTTTTAGGCCTCTAATATGCACATTAAAAGTGCTTCGTTTTCCATTCATCGACGGAGCTATTGTGGTTCCCATGAGGGTTGTCTGCCAGAACTGCTTCTCTTCCTAGTGGGAATGGAGTTTCCATTTTTAGTTCACCTTCCCTATTTCCTTTTTCTCTCTTTGGTCTGCTATAGGAGACATGTTGCTTATCTCTGTAGGGTCCAACCCCACAGGGCTTAGCAGGTATTCTCCCCATGTACGGAGACGAAAGATAGTAAGAAATAAAGACACAAGACAAAGAGATAAAGAGAAAACAGCTGGGCCCGGGGGACCACTACCGCCAAGACGCAAAGACCCGTAGTGGCCTCAAATGATTGGGCATGCTGATATTTATTGCATACAAGACAAGGGAGCAGGGTAAGGAGGGTGAGTCGTCCAAGTGATTGATAAGGTCAAGCAAGTCACGTGATCATGGGACAGGGGGCCCTTCCCTTTTAGGTAGCCGAAGCAGAGAGAGAAGGCAGCAAACGTCAGTGTTTTCATCTGTGCACTTATAAGACAGATCAAAGATTTTAAGACTTTCACTCTTTCTTCTACCACTATCTGCTACAAACTTCAAAGAGGAACCCGGAGTACGGGAGGAACATGAAAGTGGACAAGGAGCATGACTATTGAAGCACAGCACCACAGTGAGGGGTTTAGGCCTCTGTATGACTGCAGGCAGGCCTGGATAATATCCAGCCTCCCACAAGAAGCTGGTGGAGCAGAGTGTTCCCTGACTCCTCCAAGGAAAGAGAGACTCCTTTTTGCAGTCTGCTAAGTAATGGGTGCCTTCCCAGGCACTGGCATTACCGCTTGACCCAGGACCCCTCAAGTGGCCCTTATGCAGGCGTTGACAAGAGGGCTCACCTCGTGCTTTCTAGGTCACTTCTCACAATGTCCCTTCAGCACCTGACCCTATACCTGCCAGTTATTCCTTGGCTATATTAGTAATACAACAAAGAGCAATATTAAGAGCTAATGATTAACAATGTTTATACTAATTATTGATAATATCCATGATCATCTCTATATCTAATTTGTATTATAACTATTCTTATTCTAACTATTTTCTTTATTATACTGAAACAGTTTGTGCCTTCAGTCTCTTGTCTCAGCACCTAGGTAATCCTTCACCCACACATCTCCATATTTTTCTGCTGCCTGAAGAACTGCCTGCTTTTCAGCAGCGGTGAGAGTCTGACTTAGGAGCAACACGTGAGATCAAACACCTGAGTTAAATTTTGGAAAGTTTCTATATATCTATCGGGGTCGTCAGAAAATCGGCTTGTCTCCCTTTATTTGCTTAAGATCCTGTAATGAGAAGGGAACATGAAGCTTCATAGCACCATTTCCATCAGGCATTTCCTGCAGAGGTAAGAGCGAAGTGGGCAAAGTGGGTGATATTGAAGATGGTGGAGCTGGAGGAGCTGATGGCATGATTGGAGGGGGTTCTGGATGAGGGGGACTAGAAGGGTTGGGACATTCAATAGCTGTCTCAGATTGCTCCTCTGGAATCTGCTTTAGCTCTGGGGAATTATTACCTATGGGCTTGCCTGCCATGGCTGCTAAAAGAACTGAGTCCATTGTACAAAACTTGTAAAGATCTGGGTTGTCTCACAGGGCAGAGAAAGCCTGTACATAGGGGACCTCAGACCATTTGCCCTTCTGTCTGCAGAAAAGATCGAATTTTTGGATAATATTAAAAGCAAGGCTCCCTCCAGCGGGTTTGTCTGTCCCCAGGATGGTAAGAAGGCCATGCCCTTGTGCAATATAACATGAGGTGCTTTTTCTTCAAAGTCTCAAGGTTGAAGAAGTCCCAGCGTTTTAGAATGCACTTGAGAGGAGTGCAGGTCGTAGATGGTCTGTTTCCCATCTAGAAAGAGAAGTGAGAAAAAGCCATCCATTTAGTCTCCTTCCTTTTGGTGTGTGACCCAGGGTGGAGAAGAAGACAGTGGGAGCGTCCCCCCCGACTGTTTTCCCTCCTTGGTTCCTGGGTCCTGGCACCTTGTTAAATGTGCCGCCCGTGGTTGTAGGTGTGACTCTCCAAGCCATGGAACCAGAGAAACTAGAAGATGGGATTAGTCATGCCTACCCATGCTATCCTAGTTCTCTGCATGTGGTTCCCCTTTTATTTCCTAGACTTGTGTGATCTGTGTGCCTCCCTGGAAAATGGATCTTGGGAAAAACTATGTAAAAGGCAAGGCTTCTTTAACGGAGGGAATGTGCTGGATTGGCTACTATTATGGCCCGCACTAGGGCATTTACCCTTAGAAAATGGTTCAGGTTAACTTCCAGACTTAAAATCCCCTTACTAATTAAGTACTGTTTTAATTGGAGACAGAATAGGTGCCTTAAAGGGACTTAAGGACCTAATGGCGATTTTCCTGCCGATGGGACAGTATCAGGACTAAAATTTGGCTGCAGAGGACATTTTACTCCTAATTGTTGGGGCAGAATTTTCCTATTCACAGAAGCAGCATAAAGAAAGCTGCAAAATGGAAAAATTGGGAAGCTACAGTGGACCAACGTGTCTTACAGAGGGGATTTCTATTTCCACGAGGTGGCGCTGTTGGCTTAAATATACCACGTGCTCGCACGAGGACTAGTAGCGAGTGACCTCACTGTGTGGGAAAGGGGAGGCCCTCTGTTCCTAAAAGATCACAAGATCCTGAACTACATCCATGGTTACTACAGCATTTCCTGATCTTCCCCAACAGGATTACTTCCCTGGGCTGCAAAAATTCCCTCACATTTGACACACAGAGAAAATAAGAGACATAGTGATCGCAGATAGAAAAAGAAGGGAAATTTTGCAACAGGCTAGCTGGGGACCCTTTACCAACACCTGGGCAGGCTATTGGAGGCTGAGTCCAGTCCAGAAGCATTTGAATAACACAAGGGTGTGCACTGGCCAGAAATTCTCAATTGCTTAAGAACTTTTCCTGGCCTCACGGGATGGTTAGGTTTCCTTGTTGAAAGGAAGCTGATTTGAAGCATGGCCAACGTGCCCAGTGACCCATGGGTATTGGGGGGGTCTCCATGTTCTCCCCAGTAAGCCTGACATCCAAGTCTCTAAGAATGGCAGCCACACTAACCGTGTCTTTAACTGGCTGATGGATGCTTGTTATTGATTTGATTAGATTTTAAAATGGAGACCAAGAGCCTTGGAATGAAAGGACAGATTTTGAGTCCGCTCCTCTACTCACTGCTCCATTGAATGTTGTACCTTGGGATTCCGGATGAGCCCCCAAAAATGACATGGCTACGTTGTCTAGGGAAACACCCAGGGTCCTTTGTCTTGTGCCAGGGTCCTTTGTCTCCAGCACTTTGGGAGGCTGAGGCAGGTGGATCACTTGAGGTCAGGAGTTAGAGACCAGCCTGGCCAACATGGCGAAACCCCGTCTCTACTAAAAATACAAAAACTAGCTGAGCATCGTGATATGGCTCCATTGTCTGGGGAAACATCCAGGGTCCTTTGTCACATGCCGAGAAAATTAGCAACATAGACACACGTAGAGTGGATTAAGGAGTGGAAAGTTTAGTAGGCAAGAAGGAAGAGAACAGCTCCCCTGTACAATGGGAGGAGGGCTCCAAATGGAATAACCCCCTTTAGCAGAAAGCAGTTGGTTATGTCAGGAGGCTTGAGGAGGTGGCATCTGATTTGCATAGAGCCCAAGGGATTGGTTTGACCAGGTGTGGCATTCACGTAGCCCACAAAAAAACTGGCCCTCCCACCCTAGCCTTTTATTATGCAAATGCAGCTACCTGGCTGGTTGCCATGATGCCTGTACATGTTACTTCTACCTGGCTGGCTGCCATGATATCTGCACATGTGGCAACAAAGAAAAAGCAGCAGGAACTGCCATATTGGGTGAACCTGGCTCTTAGCCACCAGCATTTACATATGTAAGCCTGTGACTTGCAAATCAATGCTTGCAGGTCTGGTTTTTCCAGCCACTTTCTGTTAGAAAAGAAATGTTTGCGGGGGCTGCTTTTTTATTAAAATAAAAAGCATTACTGAGGACTCTTTTACCCTTTCTAGCTGACTAAAATAATTTTTTAATAACTCCTGTAATAGTGGTGGCACACACCTGGAATCCCAGCTACTAGGGGAGCTGAGGCAGGAGACCTGCTTGAACCTGGGAGGCAGAGGTTGCAGTGAGCCCAGATCATGCCACTGCACTCCAGCCTGGGCAACAGAGTGAGAGTCCATCTCAAGAAAATAAAATAAATAGAATTCAGATGAACAGGCAGTTTTAGTGATGCATAGGGGAAGGCACAGGGGGGTGCTGTTAGATATGTATAGGGAAAGGTATGGGGGGGTGCTGTTAGAGATGCATAGAGGAAGATATGGTGGAGGGTGCTGTAGAGCTTCCACACCCTCTCCCCAGCACCATCCCACCAGCGCTTCCTTATATTTGGCAACCCAGAAGCTCATCAAACCTCATTGTCCAAGAATTTTTATGGAACTTAATCTCCAGCTCACTCATTTCATTTCCTAGAGGTTGGTGGGTGGGGGCTGAAAGTTCCAACTTAGAATCACCTGGTCTTTCTAGTGACCAGCCCCATCTGGAGGCTATTCTAGTTGCACCACCCTAAATCACCTCATTAGCATAAACTCACATGTGATCAAAAGGGGCTCATTATGAATAAAAAAAGACACTCCTATCACTCAGGAAATTCCAAGGGTTTTAGGAGCTTTGTGGCTGAAATGGGGACGAAGACCAAATATATTTCATATTATACTACAATATCACTGCTAGATTAATCTTTTTTTTTTTTTTTTTTTTTTTTTTTTTGCGATGGAGTCTCGCTGTGTCACCCAGGCTGGAGTGCAGTGGCGCAATTGCTATTTCTGCTCACTGCAACCTCCACCTCCCGGGTTTGAGCGATTCTCCTATCTCAGACTCCCAAGTAGCTGGGACTACAGGTGTGTGCCACCATGCCCAGCTAATTTTTGTATTTTTAGTAGAGATGGGTTTTTGCCATGTTGGCCAAGCTGGTCTCGAATTCCTGACCTCAAGTGATCTACCCACCTCAGCCTCCCAAAATGTTGGGATTACAGGTGAGAGCCACTGCACCTGAGCCTAGATTAATCTTCTAGAACCAACAGCTCACATCTGTCCAAACTCCTTACCAAGCTAGCTAGAAGCATCCCCTCTCTTATAAGCCTTATGTGCTGTCTCCCTGCTAGTATGTTCCTTGAGGACAAGGATTTCGCCTTACTTATCACTATATTACCAGTGCCTGGAATAGTGCTGCTCATCCATTCGTAGGTTTTATACATTCAATTAATATCTATGATGCTCAGTAAATATTGAATAAGTGAATAAAGTATTCAGTGAAAGAACAAATACGTGACATGGCTCTTACCAGTTTAAATGGTGTGGTTATTTTCTTTTTCTTATATGAATCTTTTGCTCAAAACATACCTACTCATTGTTTCCTGAACACATCATTTACTTTGCCACCTCTGTGATTTTGCTCACACAATTTCTCCAGTTCGTAACACCCTTAACACTCTTCTCTGATAATCAAAGACCTTGACCTTTAAGGCCAAGCCAAGTACCACCTTCAGGGTGAATATCTCCCCAAGGACCCAAGATTTCAGTGACTTAGTCTCTCACCTTCTATTATTTTTATGGTCTCTATCTACTTAGCACACATCCCATATACATTTTCTATTTAAGGATATATTCTTTCTTCCCAACTAGATTTTAAATCTCATGAAAACAGCAGTCCTATTTTATTTCCACATTTATATTCAATTCCTAATCTAATATATATATAATTATATAAAATTATATATATATTTTATATACGATATAAATTATATATTATATATAATTATATGTATAATTTTATATATAATTATATATATATATATATATATATATATATATATATATATATATCCTATCCTCTTGCCCGGGCTGGAGTGCAGTGGCATGATCATAGCTCACTGCAGCTTCGAACTCCTGGGCTCAAGCAGTCCTCCCACTTCAGCCTCTTGAGTAGCTGGGACTACAGGCATGCACCACCACTCCTGGCTAATTTTTGTATTTTTTGTGGAGACAGTCTCGCTCTGTGGCCCAGGCTGGTCTTGAATTCCTGGGCTCAAGCAATCCTCCCACCTTGGCTTCCCCAAGTGCTGGGATTACAGGAGTGAGCCACCATACCCAGCCATAACAAGTATTTAGTAGTTTCTAATGATAGTTAGATTTTTTGCTTTGATATCATCATCATAAAAGATCTGGGGCACTCTTCAAACCTAATTTAGGTTGTAATTGAATAATGAAGCAGTTAAAATATGACAGTAATATTTCCATCAAACTTAATCCTATACGTTACGTTAATGTATCTGTATATACATTTACCATAATGTACACAGTCATTAATTATACATGGTTGTTGCTGTATGTTAATGTACTATGGTTCAGTTTTCAAAGGCAAATGTTATAGTGCATTCCAGGACACCTGTGTCCACGAGATAAGTTCTTTGAAACTATATTTGGATCTGCAGGCTATTAAAAGCTTCTTGTACTGAGTGACCTTTCAGGCAGAATGTAGACTGAGCGCTCCTGCTACTGCTGCCTGTTGCTGAGAGGAAGACCGCAGAAAATTCTGGATTCAAACATTTATTGCTTTTTTTGTTTTGCTTTGTTTTTGTTTTCTTTCCTTTTGCCTTCAGAAGATGAACAATGAAACCACAACCCTGATATCCTTGAAGGAGGCAATGAAAAGGTTGCTGAGGGCTATAGGGAGGGAGCAAGCATGGGTCTGCTATTCTGGGAAGATGGGTAAGAGAAGAATGAAGAATAGAAATAAAGAACTGCAGACATGCTCATTAGAATTCTGTCTCTGTGGCCGGTGCGGTGGCTCACACCTGTAATCCCAGCACACTGGGAGGCCGAGGTGGGCGGATCACAGGGTCAAGAGATTGAGACCAGCCTGGCGAACATGGTGAAACCCTGCCTCTACTAAAAATACAAAAATTACCCAGGCATGGTGGCGGGCGCCTGTAGTCCCAGCTACTTGGGAGGCTGAGGCAGGAGAATCACTTGAACCCGGGAGGTGGAGGTTGCAGTGAGCCGAGATCGTGCCACTGCACTCCAGCCTGGCAACAGAGCAAGACTCCGTCCAAAAAAAGAATTCCGTCTCTATTACAGTGGTTTAAGTCTTCCAGGCCCAAACCTATGTAAATTAACAATAAAGAAAAGTCTGCTCCCAGGTGCTGTAACTCCATTGAATGTATGCATATGCTAAATCCTAGATTTACAAAAATAAGTAAAATGTGGTTTCTGCCCTCAAGGAGCTCACAGCCTGTAGGAAAGAGAAAAGTTTGAAAAACATTTACAATTTAATGTGACTGACCTTACAATGGTGATGTTCCTAAAGGTCTATGCGAACATGAAGGGAGGATCAACCAATTTTGCCTTTGACACTAGAAAAAGGAACTCTTCATATAGGGTCATTTAAGCTGGATCTTAAAGTGCAAGTAGGAGCTTATGAGGGAGAAAAATATGGGAAGGCATTCTAGGCTGAGGAAACAGTGCATATAAGCCATATGTAAGCTTGGAACCACATAATGTATTCAAGCAGCAACTAGATGTCTCGTGTAATTGGTAACTAGGATGGGTGAGGGGACTGGTGGAAGACAGGAGCAAAGGGTGAAGGCCCTTGACTTTCCTGCTGAGGAGATCCAGTTTGCCTCTGAGTATATCACTGGGCAAGCCAGGATGACATAAACCATTTGTAATCAGTTGAGTCACAGAATCGGAATTGTGTTTTAGAAGAATGTGTCTGGAGGATGGATGGGAAATGGAAAACGGGGGTCCAGTTAGGCTACGGTAATCTTGGGTCCTAGTGAAAGATGATGAGAAACTCATTTGATGGAGATGGAGAGGCAGGAATGGGTTAGAGAGACATAAATCAGGGGAAGAAAAAAGTTGAGAATTATTCTGAGATTTCTAGTTCAAGCAATTGATTGGATGGTGAGGTCATTAACGAAACTAGGGAACTGTACTAAAACAAAACAAAACAGCCTGCGCTGAGATTTGCATGTTGGTTGAGATTTATCTGGAACGGCCTCGGACTGTCCTTTGGTGAGAGGATTCCAAAGAACTGCTGCAACTGTAAATTTTTATACTGATTGACAAGCTAGACTTCTTCCCTAAGTTTCAAACTACAGATGACCTATAAGCAATATAGTCTTAAAGGTCTAAAAGTTAACACAAAATAGTATGCCAAATGGCTTTTTTTTTTTTTTTTTTTTTGAGACAGAGTCTCACTCTGTCACCAGGCTGGAGTGCAGTGGCGCGATTTCAGCTCACTGCAACCTCCGCCTCCCAGGTTCAAGTGATTCTCCTGCCTCAGCCTCCTGAGTAACTGGGACTACAGGTGTGCATCACCACACCCGGCTAATTTTTGTATTTTTAGTAAAGAAGGGGTTTTACCATGTTGGCCAGGATGGTCTCGATCTCTTGACCTCATGATCCACCTGCCTTGGCCTCCCAAATGGCTGGGATTACAGGCGTGAGCCACTGCACCCGGCCAACTTTCTTTTTTTTTTTTTGACACAGGGTCTTGCTGTGTTGCTCAAGCTGAGTGCAGTGGCATGATCACAGCTCACTGCAGCTTTGAACTCCTGGGCTGAAGCAATTCTCATACCTCAGCTTCCCCAGTAGCTGGGACCACAAGTGTGCACACCACCACACTAGGCTAATTTTTTATTTTTTGTAGAGATGAGGTCTCACTATGTTGCCCAAGCTGGTCTCAAACTCCTGGACTCAAGTGATCCACCCACCTTGGCCTCCCAAACTGCTGTGATTACAGTTGTGAGCCACTGCACCTAGCTCAAATCACATGGTTTTGACTTGTAGACAGAAATTACAGGCATATCAGGTCACACAGGCTTCTATTCCTACAAAATGAACATTTTATACTGAGTCTTATCTATGTGTAAAGCAGTGACAACATTTCTTCATAGTAATTTCTGAAGATGGGGGAGGTATTAGTAGGTTAAGCTTAGGAGAGTTGAGTTTGACATCTCCATCTTTGTGGAGATGCACAAAACATATTGAAAATACATCTCTAGGCCGGGTGCGGTGGCTCACGCCTGTAATCCCAGAACTTTGGGAGGCCGAGGTGGGCGGATCGCCTGAGGTCAGGAGTTCGAGACCAGCCTGGCCAACATGGTGAAACCCCATCTCTACTAAAAATACAAAAATTAGCCGGATGTGGTGGCGCCTGTAATCCCAGCTACTCGGGAGACTGAGGCAGGAGAATCACTTGAACCTGGGAGACAGAGGTTGCAGTGAGCCAGGATCGTGCCACTGTACTCCAGCCTGGCGACAGAGCAAGACTCCATCTCAAAAAAAAAAAAAAAAAAAAAGAAAGGAAATACAGGTTTAAAGCTTAGGAGAGATGTAGTACCTGAAGGTGAATTAGCCTAGGGAGAAATTTAGGACCAAGAATAAAAGATGATCAAGCATAGAATGCTGGGCAGTCACAAAGGTATTCAGGTCACTGGAGATACGGAAGCTCAGAGAAGTAGCATGTGTGTTGACGCATCACTTCCCTCATAACGACAATCTAGGTGGCCCAGGCATGTTTCCCTCATAACAACAATCTACTTGGCCCAGGCAAGTTTCCCTCATAACGACAATCTAGGCGGCCCAGGCAAGTTTCTCTCATAACCACAATCTAGGCGGCCCAGGCAAGTTTCCCTCATAACCACAATCTACATGGCTCAGGCAAGTTTCCCTCATAACCACAATCTAGGTGGCTCAGGCAGGTTTCCCTCATAACGACAATCTAGGTGGCCCAGGCAGGTTTCCCTCATAAGGACAATCTAGGCAGCCCAGGCAAGTTTCCCTCATAAGGACAATGTAGGTGGCCGAGGCAGGTTTCCCTCATAACAACAATCTAGGTGGCTCAGGCAAGTTTCCCTCATAAGGACAATCTAGGTGGCCCAGGCAGGTTTCCCTCATAACAACAATCTACTTGGCGCAGGCAAGTTTCCCTCATAAAGACAATCTAGGCAGCCCAGGCAGGTTTCCCTCATAACAACAATCTAGGCGGCCCAGGCAGGTTTCCCTCATAACGACAATCTAGGCGGCCCAGGCAGGTTTCCCTCATAAGGACAATCTAGGCGGCCCAGGCAGGTTTCCCTCATAAGGACAATCTAGGCGGCCCAGGCAGGTTTCCCTCATAAGGACAATCTAGGCGGCCCAGGCAGGTTTCCCTCATAAGGACAATCTAGGCGGCCCAGGCAGGTTTCCCTCATAAGGACAATCTAGGTGGCCCAGGCAGGTTTCCCTCATAAGGACAATCTAGGTGGCCCAGGCAGGTTTCCCTCATAAGGACAATCTAGGTGGCCCAGGCAGGTTTCCCTCATAAGGACAATCTAGGTGGCCCAGGCAGGTTTCCCTCATAATGAGAATCTAGGTGGCTCAGGCAGGTTTCCCTCATAAGGACAATCTAGGTGGCCCAGGCAGGTTTCCCTCATAAGGACAATCTAGGTGGCCCAGGCAGGTTTCCCTCATAACAACAATCTACTTGGCGCAGGCAAGTTTCCCTCATAAAGACAATCTAGGTGGCCCAGGCAAGTTTCCCTCATAAGGACAATCTAGGTGGCCCAGGCAGGTTTCCCTCATAAGGACAATCTAGGTGGCTCAGGCAAGTTTCCCTCATAAAGACAATCTAGGTGGCCCAGGCAGGTTTCCCTCATAAGGACAATCTAGGTGGCTCAGGCAAGTTTCCCTCATAAAGACAATCTAGGTGGCCCAGGCAAATTTCCCTCATAATGACAATCTAGGTGGCCCAGGCAAGTTTCCCTCATAAGGACAATCTAGGTGGCTCAGGCAAGTGAATTGTGTTGCTCCAGTCTTTGTGGTTAATTAGACATAATGCTGGTGCCACAGCAGCCTCTGATGATCATGGCTGTTCGGAGCTACTCAAATCCCCATTTTGGGTTACAGAACTCAGCATTTCATTCTCATCAAAGATGTCAATCATACAGGGAAACTTTTATTACTGTGCAAGACCTTTGCTGGGTATTGGGGGACAGACATAAAGGTATCTAAGAAATAGTCTCTGATTCCTTCCCTCCAAGAACGTAGTTTAGTTCATGAAAGGCTAACCCTAATAGTAAAGCAGGAGGCGGGAGATGGGTCCACAGAGGCAGTGCTTGTAAGCGAGACGCAGGGGGGCAAGGAGATCACCAGGTAGATGGGGATTCAAAAAGGCAGTGGATTTGAGCTGATTCTGGAAGAAAGGATAAGAGTTGGACAATTAGAATCGGGTAGAAAATAGGGTATAAGCCATATGTAAGCTTGGAACCACATAATGTATTCAAGCAGCAACTAGATGTCTCATGTAATTGGTGACTAGGATGGGTGAGGGGACTGGCGGAAGATAGGAGCAAAGGGTGAAGGCCCTTGACTTTCCTGCCGAGGAGATCCAGATTATATACTGGTCTCAGCACTAGCTAACTTTATGACATTAGGTCTCAATCCTCTTGAGACTCAATTTCTTTAATAGTAAAATAGTAAAAATGACTGCTTTACTTTTTATGGTTGCTGTGAACACCAAAGTAATGCTTACATAAAATATTCTCTAAATCGTAAGGTATAGCCCGGGCATGGTGGCTCATGGCTGTAATCCCAGTACTTTGGGAGGCTAAGACAGGTGGATCACTGGAGCCCAGGTGTTGAAGACCAGCCAAACATAGCAATACCTGGTCTCTACAAAAAATATTTTTTAAAAATTAGCCAGGTATGGTGGCACACAACTGTAGTCCTAGCTACTCGGGAGGCTGAGGTGGGAAGATCACTTGAGCCTGGGAGGTAGTGATTGTGCCACTGCACTCCGGTTTGGGTGACAGAGTGAGACTCTGTATTAGAAAATAAATAAATACATAAAGTATAAGGTATAATACAAAAACAAGACACGACAGGCAATTCAAATAATTAGACAATTCAAAAGTTTGCAATATATGGAATGAAAGGACAAGGATGATGGCTAGAGGGAATGGCAAATGGAGCCATTTGTTGAAACTTTCAAATTCAAATAGCTACCCATTTTCCCTTCATAGTTTAAAGTAAAAGTAAAAAAAAAAAAGTTATCCAAATTTGGTAATGGTTGTAAATAATGTATTAGAGCCTCAGCTTAAATCAAAACCTTAGTTTTGTCCTGTAACCTAAACTAACCCTTGATTCTGTTATCCTACAGAGTAGACCACAAACTCCAAGCGTTAGAAACACAGTTCAAAGAACTAGACTTCACCAAGGATAACCTGATGCAGAAATTCGAACATCATAGTAAGGCTTTGGCAAGCCAAGCAGCCCAAGATGAGATGTGGACAGCAGTTCGGGCACTCCAGTGAGTATCAATTGAGAAATCAGTGGGATTCTGTGGCTTTGTGAGAGCTTCCACTGGTCATTGCAAAATTGAATTTCTTAGTATGTTTCCCACAATGGATTGTAAAGCAATTACATTTTCTTAGGTTCATTTATTTTTTTAAAAAAAGATTAATTTGGCCGGGCACAGTGGCTCACACCTGTAATCCCAGCACTTTGGGAGGCCGAGGCGGGCGGATCACGAGGTCAGGAGATCGAGACCACCCTGGCTGACACAGTGAAACCCTGCCTCTACTAAAAATACAAAAAAAAAAAAAAAAAAAAATTAGCCGGGTGTGGTGGCAGGCACCTGTAGTCCCAACTACTCGGGAGGCTGAGGCAGGAGAATGGCGTGAACCCGGGAGGCGGAGCTTGCAGTGAGCCGAGATCTCACCACTGCACTCCAGCCTGGGTGACAAAGCGAGACTCCGTCTCAAAGAAAAAAAAAAGATTAATTTGAGCATCTCTTTATATGCCAGGCACTATAGTACACATCTCATCACAAAGTCTCTTGCTTGCCAAAGCCTTATTTGCATTAATTTTTTTTTCTTTTTTTTTTTTTTTTTGAGATGGAGTCTCACTCTGTCACCCAGGCTGGAGTGCAGTGGGGCAATCTTGGCTCCCTGCAAGCTCCACTTCCTGGGTTCACGCCATTCTCCTGCCTCAGCCTCCCGAGTAGCTGGGATTACAGGCGCCCGCCACCATGCCCAGCTAATTTTTGTATTTTTAGTAGAGACGGGGTTTCACCATGTTGGCCAGGCTGGTCTCAAACTCCTGACCTCAGGTGATCCAACCACCTCGTCCTCCCACAGTGCTGGGATTACAGGCGTGAGCACCACGCCCAGCCTATCTGCATTAATTCTAAAGTGAGTACTGGCTGGGCATGATGGCTCACGCCTTTAATCCCAGCACTCTGGGAAGCCGAGGCGACAGGATCACTTGAGCTCAGGAGTTTGAGAACAGCCTGGGCAACAAAGTGAGACCCTGTCTCTTAAAAAAAAATAAAATGTAAGTATTTGAATTTGAATTTAAATTCTAAAGTAAATATTTTCTAAATTACAACAGCTGGTTCTCCTAGTGGGTTCATATTGAGTTATCCTAAAAGAATTCATTTTCTGTTTCTATATAAAATATTTTTGACCGCTTAAGAAGCTCTCCATATTTTTTGTAGGCTCACTTCAATGGAATTGAATATTTTATACAGCTACGTCATTGAAGTACTTATCTGCTTGCATACTCGTGTGCTTGAGAAGCTGCCAGACCTGGTGAGAGGTCTTCCAACCTTAGCCTCTGTACTCAGAAGAAAAGTTAAGAACAAGCGCGTTAGAGTTGTATGGGAGTCCATACTGGAGGAGTGTGGGCTGCAAGAAGGAGACATCACAGCACTTTGTACCTTCTTTATTGCACGTGGTAACAAGGCAGAACACTATACTGCTAAAGTGAGGCAGATGTACATCAGGGATGTCACGTTCCTAATTACTAACATGGTAAAGAACCAGGCTCTGCAGGACAGTTTGCTGAGGGCTGTGCAGGTAATTGAGAAGGGGAAAGCAGTTAGGACCCCTGAAAAGCAAAAGTCATCCCTCGAAGAGTTGATACCATCTGTCAAAAACTAACCTGTTACCCTATGACCCAGTGATTCCACCTACAGTAATTTATCTTGGAAACAGCAAAAAGTATGCACAATTTATTATAGTCTTATTTTTATAGCAAAGAGTGAGAGGATGTTAAATAAATTATGACAAATTGATACAATAGATACTTTCTTTGCAGCCATATAAAAGAATGAAGAAGCTCTTTGTGTAATGATATGAAGTGATCACCAAATGTATTGTTGTTTTCAAATGTTTATTTCCAATATACATTGCTAAGTGGAAAAAAGGTGACAAATATATATATATAAATATATATATAACACATATTAGTTTACATATCCATAAACTTCTTCTGCAGAGATACACAAGACAGTGATAACATTAGTTGTCAGGAAAGAAAGCTAAGAGGCTAGGGGTCAAAGACAAGAGGAAGTCTTTTCACTGTTAATCCATTTTTTACATTTTCAATTTTGAACCATGTGAATGTATTACCTATTTAAAAAATAAACAAGGCCGGACATGGTGGCTCATGCCTATAATCCAAGCACCTTAGGAGGCCAAGGTAGGAGGATCACTTGAGCTCAGGGGTTTCAGACCAGCCTGGGCAACACAGTGATAGCAATAGGAGGCAGGTAAATTCCTAGGCAGACAGGGAGGGGTCCCTGGTGAAACTCAACCTTCAAGCCAAGGACAGTCTAAAGCCTGAAAACCAAGCTATGAGTTCTGGATAAATCCATGAGCCAGACTGAGAGCTCCCATTCTCGTCTGGCACCCTCTCTCCTGATTGGTCCTTACCCTTCACCTATTTTATACATACCTACCCTTCCGCGATTGGTCCTCTACACTATCGTGCCTATTTCTGAATGGTGCTTTGTCAAGCATAGCCACAGACCAATCAGCATGCACTTGCCCATTTCTAGCCCACAAAAACCCATAGACTCAGGCTCGTGGCCAGCAACCCACCTTCGGGTCCCCTCTCACTGCCAAGAGCCGTTCTGTCACTCAATAAATTCTACTTTGCCTTACTCACTCTCCAGTGTCCGTGTACCTCATTCTTCTCAGTCATGGGACAACAACTCAGAACTCATCAAATTCGGGAGTAAGAGCTGTAACAATAGTGAGACCTCATCTCTATTTTCATAAATTAAAACAAAAACACCTAAAATATACATCATGAGATCCTATAAATTGTATCTTAATGTGTATTTGTTCTCTAATGAAGTACCATAGTTATTTATACCAGAAAGGAGATTCTTACATCTTGACCATTTATTTATAATATTTATCGAATACCAAATGCCATGTACTAGGTACTGTGGATAACAGAAACATTAAAAATGTGGATCCTGCCCTCGAGGTAAAGATTAAGTGCCGATGCTTTATTTGGGAGGTACAAATTCAGGACAGCCAGAGTGAAGAAAGCTGGAAGGAAGTTAGGTAGAGAAGGATGTGAAGTAATACATGGTGATGTGTTACCTTGCTGTCCCCTCCTTGAAAATGAGCCACAAGAGACACAGCAGCTTTTTCAGCAGGCACACTCCCTCAGTCTTGCCTGTCTCCAGACACACTGGAGAAACCATCCTTGGAAGGAAGAAGAAAAGGGAATTTAAGTATTGTGCTCGGTCAGTCCACTGGTTTCAATTGGTGAAAGTTACTCCATGGGGAGTGACCCCCCCACCCTCCCAGCATGCATTACCGAGGCCCTAGCAGCCTCTGAGAAGTCAGCTCCTGCATTGTTCAGAAGTGGCAGGAGAAGCCAGAGATTCCGGAAATGCAACTGGTGAGCCCCAAAAAGAGCAAGTGATTATGGGTACAGAAAGCAAACAAAGTGAAGGAAATCTGAGGAAGTACATGAAATATATCCATTACACAAGACATAAGCACCTGAAGATAGAAATCAAAATACAGGAGTTCAATAGTAAAACTGCAATAAAAATCAGTATCACTGGGCAATATATGACTGGGTGAGTTTAGAAAAGGGGCATTACTGGTGGTGGGGAGTGCATTAAATTGCACATAAAAGTGCACTCTGGAAGAAGTGAATTAATTTTTTTTTTTTTCGAGACGGAGTCTTGCTCTGTCAACCCAGGCTGGAGTGCAGTGGTGCAATCTGGCCTCACTGCAACCTCTGCCTCCCGGGTTCAAGCAATTCTTCTGCCTCAGCCTCCCGACTAGCTGGGATTACAGGCACCTGCCACCATGCCCAGCTAATTTTTGTATTTTTAGTAGAGACTGAGTTTCAACATGTTGGTCAGGCTGGTCTCGAACTCCTGACCTTGTGATCCGCCCTCCTTGGCCTCCCAAAGTGCTGGGATTACAGGCATGAGCCACCGTGCCTGGCCCAACTGCATTAAATTGGTGTTTGAAGTAGGCACAGCCACAAAGCAACCCATTTAGGATGAACCGAGAAAGCAATGTCATGAAAGCAAAACGTTTGGATGACAGAGAATAAATCATAGTTGCATGTTTAAAAGAATAATGGGAGATTCGATGGGAAAAGCAGGTTGTGGACATATTAGGAAGCCTGAAGGCCAGGTGCAGTGGCTCACGCCTGTAATCCCAGCACTTTGGAAGGCCAAGGCCGGTGGATCACCTGAGGTCAGGAGTTCGAGACCAGCATGGCCAACATGGTGAAACCCCATCTCTACTAAGAATACAAAAATTTGCCAGGCGTGGTATTACAATGCACGTGGTATTACAAGGCACGCGCCTGTAATTGCAGCTACTCGGGAGGCTGAGGCATGAGAATCGCTTGAACCCAGGAGGTGGAGGTTGCAGTAAGCTGAGATCAAACCACTGCACTCCAACCTGGGCAACAGAATGAGGAGCCATCTCAAAAAAACAAACAAACGAACAAAAAACAAGCCTGAAATTCCAAGCTAAGGTACTGTTACTGTAGACAACCAGATGACAGTCCCAGGTTTCTTTTTTTTTTCTTTTTTTTGAGACAGGGTCTTGCCCTGTCACCCAGGCTGGGGTGCAGTGGTACGATCACTGTTCACTGCAGCCTTGACCTCCTGGGCTCAAGTGATCCTCCCACCTCAGCCACCAGAGTAGCTGAGAGTATAAGTGTGAGCCAGCACACCGAGTTAATTTTTTTATTTTTTGTAGAGACAGGGTCTCACTATGTTGCCCAGGCTGGACCTGAACTCCTGGGCTCCACTGATCTTCCCGCCTTGGCCTTCCAAAGTGCTGGGACTACAGGTGTGAGCTATCACAGACAATAACAGGTTTCTGAACCCACATTGAAATGAAAGTTCCCAAAGACTTCTACCAACGACCGATGTCTCCTCGTTGTTCTCAACCTGGAAACCATCCCCTACCCAGCCTGAATGCTCTCAGCAGCCTCAAAACAACTTAAAGGCTGCTTTCACGCACAGTGATTTTCTTTTCTCTTCCTTCACACTGATTGATTCCCTCAAAAAATGCAGGTCCGGAGCTGGCTATGGAGTTGCAAGCTCTAGACCCAGCTACTCCAGAGGCTGAGGCGAAAGAATCCCTGGAACCCTGGAGTTGTAGTCCAGCCTGGATAAAACAGTGAGACCCCAATTCTTTTATCTATTTATTTATTTGTATTTTTTGAGGTGGAATTTTGCTCTGTCCCCCAGGCTGGAGTGCAGTGGCACAATCTCGGCTCACTGCAGCCTCTGCCTCCCAGGTTTAGCGATTCTCCTGTCTCAGCCTCCTGAGTAGCTGGAATTGCAGGAGCTTGTCACAATGCCCAGCTAATTTTTGTATTTTTAGTAAGGACGGGGGTTTCACCATGTTGGCCAGGCTGGTCTTGAACTCCTGACCTCAGGTGATCCGCCCGCCTCGGCCTCCCGAAGTGCTGGGATTACAGGCGTGAGCCACCGCACCCGGCCTTGTTTGGCTGTTGATTTTGTTTTGAGGTTTCCCTTTTTCTACCCAGAAACCAAGAAACCAGGGGTGTCTGAGGCCTCGCAGAAATCTCAGGGAAAGGTCAGGCTCCACCCAGGCTGCACTAGGCGGGGCTGCGACGCCAGGGCGGGACCGTCTCCGGCTGGGAGGGAGGGCGGGCGGCGCGCAGACCCCGGAAGTCCCGCCCCGGGAACGTTCGCCCTTGGGCAGTTTTCTGGGTGGGAAGTGCGATTTTGGCGGGCGGTTGTGACGTTGCTAGCGCTTGTCCGGTGGCTGCTGCGCTGCCGCAACGAATAGGGTTTCTGGCTGCGTAGGAGGGACGGGGGCGCGGAGCTCTGGGAAACTGCGCCAGGCGCCCGAAAGGTGAACACGGGAGTCGCGCGTCTCCCCCGCAGCAGCGGTAAAGCGGAAGTTATGCTGCAGCCGGAGCCCGGGCTTCCTCCCGGAGCCGCGTCCCGGGGCCCGGCTGCCCCGAGCTGAGCGGAGCATCCTTTCCGGGTGAGGGGAGGAGAGGACTTGGCGCGTTCCCCTCGCTGCCCCGGGAGCCGCAGCCGCGGTGTTCATGCCGCGGAGCAGCCAGGCTCCTCCGACGAAAACCTGCATTTATTTGCTGGCGGGACGTTTGCCTTGAAAATGGACAAAGACGCCGCCCTCCGGGGTATTCCTGTTTGCCTGACCCTGAGAGCGCCTTTTTGCTTCAAGACGTGTTGGATGCTCCTGTTCTCCGAATTCTGATACGCTTCTGGGCATAATACTGAAACACAAAACTGCTTTTGCTCTCTCTGTGGTTGGCCGAAAATAGGATTCTTTTTCGTGCAGGTGTCGTTGTTTAGTCGGCTTTACTAACATATTGAAATGGCTCTACCCAAAGACGCCATCCCCTCGCTGTCCGAGTGCCAGTGCGGGATCTGCATGGAAATCCTCGTGGAGCCCGTCACCCTCCCGTGTAACCACACGCTGTGTAAACCGTGCTTCCAGTCGACCGTCGAAAAGGCGAGTTTATGCTGTCCCTTCTGTCGCCGCCGGGTATCGTCGTGGACTCGGTACCATACCCGAAGAAATTCTCTCGTCAACGTGGAACTGTGGACGATAATTCAAAAACACTATCCCAGGGAGTGCAAGCTTAGAGCGTCTGGCCAAGAATCAGAGGAAGTGGGTGAGTAAACCATGGCGTGTTTGTTGGCCAAAAGCCGCAAGTCTTTGAAAAGGTGAATCATCACTTTTCCATTTAAAAAGTAAAAACAAACCAAAAAACCCGACTAGTATTTGTCTAAATAGTTCTCAGAGGTTAGGGGGTTTATGGGTCCCCAAATGTCGATGGATTATAAAGTCAAGGGCAAGATTTTGTCCATTGTCAAAATGCCCGCGCTGTGTTCGATGGGTGTTTGTTGTGTTAAAAATTAAAGAATTGCCCGTCTGGAGCCTTCTTTTTTTTTTTTTTGAGACAGGATCTCGCTCCGTCCTCCAGGCTGGAGTGCAGTGGCGCGATCTCGGCTCCCTGCAACCTCCGCCTCCCGGTTTCAAGCGATTCTCCTGCCTCAGCCTCCCGAGTAGCTGGGGTTACACGCGTGCACCATCACGCCCGGGGAATTTTTCTGTTTTTTAGTAGAGACGGGATTTCACCATGTTGGCCAGGCTGATCTCAAACTCCTGACCTCAAGGGATCCGCCCGCCTCGGCCTGCCAAAATGCTGGGATTACAGGCTTGAGCCACCGCGCCCGGCCTCTGATTTACTTATCTATACATCTCCATTCATTTAATTCTTGATTCTCCTAATCATGCGACGAGGCTAAAGTCGCTTTTTTATCACTCAACCCTGCACCCGGTAGACTCAGGAGCCCCAAACTGAACCCTTGACTCTTTCCTCCACTAATGTGAGCAATAAGCCGGGCGGTGGTTCCTGTCTGGGCTTAGGATATGGTGTCTCCGTTCTCTCGTGGACAGGTCTTTTTTTTTTTTTTTTTTTTTTTTTTTCTAATTTTTTTTGGTCACAGTTATATGTGTACCTGCCTTTTAAACATACGTTTATTTTATTGTAAAAAAATGCCATTTTAAACATTTTTAAACAATAGTTAAAAGAAAAAGCTTTATTCAAATGCTCGCAGACCATACAATTCACCTACTAAAAGTGTGCGGTTGGCCGGGAGCGATGGCTCACAGCTGTAATCCCAGCGCTTTGGGAGGCGGAGGTGGGAGGATCTCTTGAACCCAGGAGTTGAGGCCGGTCTGGGTAACATAAATTCAGTAAAATGTTTAAAAGTGTGCAATTTAATGGTTTTTGGTATATTGCGTTATTTTTAAAATATTGTCCAAAATGTATATAACAAACTGACATTTTAACCATTTTTAAGTACAATTCAATAGCATTAATTACATTCACAATGTAACCATCACCACTGTTTCCAGAACTTTTCATCACCCCAGATAAACTCTAACCGTGAGGCACTGACTCCCCATTTCACCTTTCCCCCCAGCCTCGGCACCTTCTATTCCACTTTCTGTCTCTATGAATCTGGCCATTCTAGGTATTTCATAGAAGGGACTCATGCAATATAGGATCTTGTGTGTCTAGCTTATTTCACTTAGCGTGTTTCTGAGGTTCATGTACAGTGTGGCATGGATCAGTACTTCATTTTTCGGGCTGAATAATAATTTGTTTTACGGATATACTTGTTACATTTTGTTTATCCATTGGCTGGACATTGGTTTTTTTCACCTTTTCGTTATTTGAATACTGGCGATACGAACATTTATGTACCAGTATGTGTTTGAATACCTGTGTTCAGTTCTTTTGTCTATATATCTACGAGTGGAATTGCTGGATCCTATGGTAATTCTGTGTTTAGCTTTTTGAGGAACTGCCACATTGATTTCTACAGTGGCTGTACCATTTTACATTTCCATTAGCAGAGTACGAAGTTTCCAGTTTCTTCACTTCCTCACCAACACTTGTTATTTTCCGTGCCATGCTAGTACATGTGAACTGGTATCTTAACTCTGTGTGTCAAAAAATTGCGGGGCCGGGCGCGGCGGCTCACGCCTGTAATCCCAGCACTTTGGGAGGCCGAGGCGGGCGGATCACGAGGTCAGGAGATCGAGACCATCCTGGCTAACACGGTGAAACCCCCTCTCTACTAAAAATACAAAAAATTAGCCGGGCATGTTGGCACGCGCCTGTAGTCCCAGCTACTCGGGAGGCTGAGGCCGGAGAATGGCGTGAACCCGGGAGGCGGAGCTTGCAGTGAGCCGAGATCACGCCACCGCACTCCAGCCTGGGAGACAGAGCGAGACTCCGTTTCAAAAAAAAAAAATTGTGGTAAAATATAGCAAGATTACCATTTTAACCACTTAAAAATGTTTTTGACTAGAAAGAAGGGAGGAAAATTTTAACCGTTTGTAATTGTATGGTTCAGTGGCATCGCCTCCGTTCACACTGCTGTGCATCCGTCACCACCGTCCATCTCCAGAACTTTTTAATCCTCCCAAACTGAATTTCCACACCCTTGAGGCTCACCGTTCCTCCCTCCTACTATCCCCTGGCAACCACCGTTCTCCTTTCCATTTCTGTGAACCCGACTGCTTCTAGGTACCTCCTGTAAGTGGAATTTTCATAGGTTTTGTCCTTTTGTGTCTGGCCTGTTTTACCTAGCGTAATGTTTTCCAGGTTCATCCATACTGCATGTGACAGCATTCCCTTCTTTTCCAGGCTGAATAATGTTCCAGTGTATGTATATGCTACATTAAAAGAAATCTGTTCCTCTGTCAGTGGACACTTGGCTTGCTTCCACTTCTCGGCTATTAGAAATAATGCTGGTGTGAACTTGGGTGTACAAATGTCTGTTCAGGGGCCTGTTTTCTATTCTTTTGGGTGTATACCTGGAAGTGGAATTTCTAGATCCTATGGTAATTCTATGTGTGATTGGTTTTGGAAACCGCCATACTGTTTTCCACAGTGACTGTACCGTTTTACATTCCCACCAACAGTGCGTGGGTGTCCAGTTTCTCTGCACCCTCGCCAACACTTGCTATTTTCTGGGTTTTGATAGTAGCCATCCTGGTGAGTATGAGGTGGTATCCCATTGTGGTTTTTATTTGCATGTCCCCAATGACTAAGGATGGCGAGCATCTTTGCATGCATTTATTGGCCATTTGTATATCATCTTCGGAAAAATATGAAATATCTATTCAAATCCTGTGCTCATTCATTCTTTTTGTTTCTGTTTTTCTCCCAAAACCCAGAAAAAGCCACAACTTTGCCTGTCATTTAATCAGGTTGTTTTTTTGAGTTGTGGGCATTCTCCTGCCTCAGCCTCCTGAGTAGCTGGGATTACAGGCATGCGACACCACACCCAACTAATTTTTGTATTGTTAGTAGAGATGGGGTTTTGCTGTGTTGGTCAGGATGGTCTCAATCTCTTGACCTCGTGATCCACCTGTCTTGGCCTCCAAAAGTGCTGGGATTACAAGCGTGAGCCACCGCGTCCGGGCTGTTTTAGTTTTTATCCACCATAGATGAGTTTTTTCTGTTCTGGAACTTCATATAAATGGAATTCTTTTTATTTCCTAGGGCTACTGTAACAAAGTACCACGAACTTAGCAGAAATTTATTCTCCCTCAGTTCTGAAGAGTAGAACTCCAAACCCAAGATGCTAGCAGGGAGCAGGGACATGTACATTGAAGGCTCTGGGAGAGAATCTGTTCCGTGCCCTTCTCCTTAGCTTCTGGTGTGGCTGGAATCCATGGTGTTCCTGGTTTGCAGCTGAGTCACTCCAGTCTCTGCCTCCATTGGCACGTAGAGTTTCCCGGTGTGTCTGTCTTTACATGGCCGTCTCCTCTGTGTCTCTCTCTTTTTTTTTTACCAGGACACTAGTTATATTGGATTAAAGGCTCTGTACTCTTTGTATGAACTCCATTATATCTGTAACAACCTGTTTCCAGTTAAGACCACATTCTTAGTTACTGGGAGTTAGGACTTAAGCATATCTTTTGGGGGGTTATTCAGCATAAGGTTCAAGATTTATTCTTTTTTTTTTTTTGAGACAGTCTTGTTCTGTCACCCAGTCTGGAATGCAGTGACAGGATCTCGGCTCACTGCAACCTCCGTCTCCTGGGTTCAAGTGATTCTCCTGCCTCAGCCTCCTAAGTAGCTGGGATTACAGGCACGCACCACCATGCCTGGCTAATTTTTGTATTTTTAGTAGAGATGGGGTTTCACCATGTTGCCCAGCCTGGTGTCGAACTCCTGACCTCAGGTGATCCACCCGCCTCGGCCTCCCAAAGTGCTGGGATTACAGGCATGAGCCACCGCGCCTGGCCTCAAGATTTATTCTTGTGTAGATATTCGTTTTTTAAGTATTATTCCACCATTGACTATGCTGTATATGATTGGCCATTCTCCACTGATACAGTGCTTCAGTTGCTTGCAGTTTTGGATATTATGAATAAAGTTGCTGAGAAGGTTCTTGTGCAAGTTTTTGTGTCTCTGTGTGTGTATGTGTGGCCTTATGTTTTCAGGGTTTTTTTGGTTAAATACTTAGGAGCTGGAATTACGCAACGTAGAATAGGTACATATTTTTATAAGAAACTACCTGCCAGGCATGGTGGCTCACGCACTTTGGGAGGCCGAGGCGGGTGGATCACAAGGTCAGGAGTTCAAGACCAGCCTGGCCAAGATGCTGAAACCCCATCTACTAAAAATACAAAAATTAGCCGGGTGTGGTGGCGGGCACCTGTAATACCAGCCACTCGGGAGGCTGAGGCAGAGAATTGCTTGAACCCAGGAGGCAGAGGTTGCAGTGAGCCTAGATCGCGCCACTGCACTCTAGCCTCGGTGACAGAGTGAGACTCCATCTCAAAAAAAGAAAGAAGAAACTACCAGATCTTTTTCGAAAGTGGTTGTGTCATTTTGTAATCCCACCAACAGCATACAGGTTCTGGTTGCCGTACATCTTACCAACTTTTGATGTTATCTGTCTTTTTAGATTTAACCATTCCAGTTGATTTGTATTGATAGTAGTATCTTGTTTTAATTTCAATTTCCAGGTAACTAATGATAGTGTTCTTTTTCATGTGCTTATTGACAGTTTTGCCCTCTTCCATTGTAAAGTGTCTGTTTAATTCTTTTTCCCCTAAATTGTTTATATTCAGTTGTAGACATTATTTATGTATTTTGAATACTGGTACTTTGCCAGATATTCTTAATTGTTTTGACGAGCTGAAATTCTTAATTTTCATGAAGTCTCATAAATTTTTCCTTTTATAGTTTATTGCTTTTTATGGTCTAAGAAACCTTTAGCTACCTTCAGGCTAAGATATTGCTATTTTTTTTTCTAAAAGATTTATAGTTTTACCTTTTTTTTTTGGAGACTGAATTTCGTTGTGTCGCCCAGGCTGGAGTGCAGTGGCGTGATGGCTCACTGCAACCTCCACCTCCCAGGTTCAAGCGATTCTCCTCCCTCAGCCTCCTGAGTAGCTGGGACTACAGGCACGCACCACCATGCCTGGCTAATTTTTGTATTTTTTGTAGAGATGGGGCTTCACCATGTTGGCCAGGCTGGTCTTGAAGTCCTGACCTCGTGATCCGCCTGCCTTGGCCTCCCAAAGTGCGAGGATTACAGGTGTGAGCCACTGTGTCTGGCCAGTTTTAACTTTTATGTTTAGGTCTTTGATCCATTTCAAATTAATTTTGAATATTGTATAAGTTAGGGGGTTGAGGTTAACTTTTTCCCATATGGGTATCAGTTATTTCTGTACCTTTTGTTGAAAAGACTTTTTAAAAAAAATAATGTGGGTCTATTCTATTTCATTGATCCGTTGATTCTAATATTAGTGTCACACTGTCTTGATTACTGTGACTTTAGAGTAAATCTTTTTTTTTCTTTTTGAGACAGAGTCTTGCTCTGTTGCCTAGGCTGGAGTGCAGTGGCGTGATCTCAGCTCACTACA
Organism: Homo sapiens; assembly: GCF_000001405.40. Lineage (NCBI taxonomy): Eukaryota > Metazoa > Chordata > Mammalia > Primates > Hominidae > Homo > Homo sapiens. Next base: position 196,497,083 of record NC_000003.12, on the reverse strand, counting down.
TCCTCTGCCTCCCAGGTTCAAGCAGTTCTCCTTCCTCAGCCTCCTGAGTAGCTGCGATTACAGGCATGTACCACCATGCCTGGCTAATTTTTGTATTTTTAATAGAGACGGGAGTTTCACCACATTGGCCAGGCTGGTCTCGAACTCTTGACCTCAGATGATACTCCTGCCTCGACCTTCCAAAGTGCTGGGATTACAGGCGTGAGCCATCGTGCCCGTCCTCCGTATATTTATTCTTTGTATGTAGAGACGGGGTTTTGCTATGCTGCCCAGGCTGGTCTTGAACAGCTCACCTCAAGCAGTCCTCCCGTCTCAGCCTCCTGAAGTGCTGGAATTACAGGCCTGAACCGCCACACCCAGCCTATTTAAATTTTTCAATCAACTTACCAGTTTCTACTAACAGCCTGTTAGGAGTTTGATTGGGGTTGCATTGAACTTAATAGAACAATTTGGGGAGAATTGACATCCAAACAGCAACAGAGTCCTTGTATCCATGAAAATAGTATATTTCTCTGTTTGTGTAGGTCACCTTCAATTTTTTTCAGTAATGAAGTTAAAATAAGGTCATTAGAATGGGCCCTAATCCATTATGACTGGTTTCCTTATAAAAAGGAGAAATTTGGACACAGAGACAGACACGCACAGAAGGAAGATGATGTAAAGACACAGAGTACCACGTGAGGCTGGAGGACTGGAGTGATGTATTTACAACCCAAGGAACGTCTAAGGTTATCAGCATACTGTCAGAAGCAAGGAAGAGGCAAGGAAGGATCCCCTACAAGTTTGAAAAGTGTCATGGCCCTGCTGACACATTTATTTTGGACTTTTAGCCAGAACTGTGAGAAAATAAATTGCTGTATTTTCAAGTCACGCAATTTGTGGTACTTTTCTATGGTGGCCCTAAGAAACTAATATTTATCCCTAATTATATTATGGCTTTTGAGACTGTTTTAAGTAAATTTTAAAAAATTTTCAGTATTGTTCATTGATAATTTATAAAAATATAATTGGTGTTTCTGTGTTAACTTTGTTAACACATAATACATAAAGTGAATCTACTCATTTACTTTATGTATTTTTAATTTATGGAAGGAAGGTTGTAAGAAAGCACATATGAGATAGCTTTAAAAAATGAAGTATTTGAAAGTGAATTAGTGTGACGGAGACAGGTGTGTTTTACATTTGGATTTCTCAAAAAAGAATCCTATAGTAGGGAAGAATCAGCCTTAGAATGTCTAAATTTCCTTTCTGTTTGCGACTGTCACTGTAAAAATTGATGCAGGCAAGAATTACAAACGGATGCCAAAATCCCTGCTTGAAAATTTGCCGGAGAACGGAGGACTCATATAGTCTGAAAATATCATCTTACAGATTGCTTATTAATTACAAAGGGTGAAGGATACAGTCGAGAAGCCTGTTACCACAGTAATGAAGTGATCACAGTTAACGTTATCCATGGAACAAACAAACATTGCGGTCCTCCTGATAGGACGAGTATAAGGCATAACCTGAATCTAACTGTGAGAAAACAAAAACCCAAATTGAAATTCTACAAAACGTAGTTGTTAGTACCTCAAAAATGTCAGTGTCATGAAGGCAAAGCCTTAGGAATCATTCTAGTTGAAAGGGAGATTAAAAGAGAATGACAGCTAAATGCAGTGCATGACCCTGGATTAGAACATGGATTAGGACAAAGGTTGTTATTAAAGACATGGGGATAGTTGGTGAAATTTTTATCATTGATATGATGGGTAATATATCAATGTTAATTTTCTTGAACTTGATCATTGTATATCAAATCAAGAGATAAGGACAGCATCTCTTATGAGGTGGACACGTAAGGATTTGGTGAAGGGTTATGATCATGCAACTTTCAAATGGTTCAGAAAATACACACACACACACACGAAAGGCAATGTGGCAGTTTAAAAACTTCATGAATCTAAATGCAGGTTAAACGGGGGTTTATCATACTATTTTTGCAATTTCTGTAGATTTGAAAATTTTCAAAATAAATATTGAGGCAGAAAGTGCAAATTTAGTTTATGTTATTTTATTTTCGAGACAGGGTCTCACTTAGTCGCCCAGGCTGGAATGCCAGGGAGCGATCTTGGCTCACTGTACCCTCCACCGCCCGGGCTCAAGCAATCCTCCCACCTCAACCTCCTGAGTAGCTGGGACCACAGGCACACACCACTACGCCAGGCTAATTTTTTTATTTTTTGTAGAGATAGGGTCTCACTATGTTACCGAGGCTGGTCTTGAACTCCTGAGCTCAAGTGATACTCCTGCCTCATCCTCGCAAAGTGCTGGGATCACAGGTGTGAGCACTTTGCCCCTGATTGCCATTTATAGCCACACTACTTGGTGATGATCCAGCCACACTGATGTACATACTGCTTCACAAATCATATGCTTATTTTCCAGAGCAACTTTGGGCTTTTTATTTTTTAACTATCTCTTTATTTTGTACCCTGTGCCCAGCCCAGGAATGCACATTTAATTGGGAGAAGGAAACTGCCATTTACATGGAGCTGCAGTCTAGTTCAGTGATGGGAGGGCAGTTTTATGAACAGCTCAACTGTTCAAGTTAAGGCTTATTATTTATTTTTATTTTTCATCCAGTATTATACATTCAGGTCTTTAACTAACTTGAATTTTTCCTTCAAAATAAAATAAAAAGCATGGGGACATATTTCCTTAAATGAGTCCTGGCCGCCTAGGAAGACCACTTGCTGCGAAGAAGCAAAATATCGAGTAGAGTAGGAATGTTTAACCGAAGTGGGTTTCAGCAGAAATTTTAGAGTTAACCAGAACTGAAGAGTGTCGAGAGTTGTTTCCAACAGATGGCAAAAATTGTATAGTCACTTTAAGACTATAAAACTGAGATATTCAAATTTCTTATAAAATTAGAGTTGTTTAAGAAATAGCAAACAGGCCAGGTGCGGGGGCTCACACCTGTAATCTCAGTACTTGAGAGTTCAAGGCAGGCAAATCGCTTGAGCCTGAGAGTGTGAGACCAGCCTGGCCAATAGGGCAAAACCGTCTACAAAAAATACAAAAATTAGCCGGGTGTGGTGGTGGGCGCCTGTAGTCTCAGCTACATGGGAGGCTCAGGCAGTAGCATTGCTTGAGCCTGGGAGGTGGACACTGCAGTGAGCTGAGATTGCACCACTGCACTGCAGCCTGAGTGACAAAGTGAGACTCTGTCTCAAAAAAAAAAAAAAATAAATTTAAAAAAAGAAAGAAATAGCAAATGGAAGGCTGGGCACGGTGGCTCACACCTGTAATCCTGGCACTTTGGAAGGCAGGTGGATCACCTGAGGTCAGGAGTTCAAGACCAGCCTGGCCAACATGGTAAAACCCCCGTCTCTACTAAAATTACAAAAAATTAGCTGGGCGTGGTGGGACATGCCTGTAATCCCAGCTACTCAGGAGGCTGAGGCAGGAGAATTGCTTGAACCCGGGAGGTGGAGGCTGCAGTTACCTGAGATTGCGCCATTGTACTCCAGCCTGGGCAACAAGAGCGAAACTCCGTCAAAGAAGAAAAAGAAATAGCAAATGGACTGGATGCAGTGGCTCACACCTGTTATCCCAGTGCTTCAGGAGGCTAGGGCAGGAGAATCGCTTCAGCCAAGGGGTTGGAGGCTGCAGTGAGCTATGATCCCGCCACTGAACTCCAGCCTGGGCAAGAGTGAGATCTTGTTTCCAAAAACAAAAGAAAAAGGCAAATGAAGACAATTTTAACTTGTGTCTGCAGTTGAATAACTCACTGATCTTAATTTAGATTCAGTTTATGTAGAAATAAGTAAACTTTAAAAATCTGTCATTCCACGGTTTAACAAAAGTTCAGCTCTCTGCTTGCTGTAGTTGGGCATCTTCTGTAAATCGCACGTGCCTTTCCTTTGCCTGTTGTGGTTTTTAATTGATCTGTGGAAGTTCTAGTTATATTCTGGACACTAATTCTCTGGTGATTTATGTATTTGCAAATAACTTCTAGTTTGTTTTTAACTTTGTGATGTCTTTCATCACATGGAAGTTTTAATTGTTTTGGAATTTATCTCATATGTTCTTCTTAGTCGTTTATAGTTTTGTTTTTTTCCATTTTTTAATCCACCTTGAATTCGAGTATTGTATGAGGTAGGCATCTTAACTCCCCCTGCCCTTGATTGCCACTTAATAGCCACACTACTTGGTAGTAATACAGCCACATTGATATACGTACTATTTCACTAATCATATGCTTATTTTCCAGAGCAATTTGGGGCTATTTATTTATTTTATTTATTTATTTATTTATTTATTTGAGATGGAGTCTCTCTCTGTCACCCAGGCTGGAGTGCAATGGTGCGATCTTGGCTCACTGCAACCTCTGCCTCTCGGGTTCAAGCGATTCTCCTGTCTCAGCCTCTTGAGTAGCTGGGATTACAGGCGTGCACCACCACACGTGGCTAATTTTTGTATTTTTAGTAGACATAGGGTTATTTGCCTTGTTGGCCAGGCTGGTTTTGAACTCCTGACCTCAAGTGATCCGCCTGCCTCCACCTCCCAAAGTGCCGGGATTACAGGCATGAGCCATGGCACCTTGCCTGGGCTTTTTATTTTTTAACTATCTCTTTATCAGTAGCTGTGTCAGTACCACACATGCTTAGTTTAATTCTGCTTAATGATATGTTTTGCTTTCTAGTATAATACATCTGTCTTATTATTGTTTTCCTAAATTAGCTACTTAAAAAAAATTTTTTTGAACAAAGATGGGGTCTTGCTATGTTGCCCAGGCTGGTCTTGATAGCCTGAGCTCAAGTGGTCCTCCTGCCTCAGCCTTCCAAAGTGCTGGGATTACAGGCATGAGCCACTGTGCCCAGCCTCTTAGCTACTATTTTATTGTATCTAATGTGTAAAGTGATTTACTTTTTTTCCAGTTTTATTGTAAAAGATACATAACATAAAATCCGCCATGTTAACCATTTTTAAATGGACAGTTGCGTGACATGAAGTACATTCATGTTTTTGTGCAGCCGTCACCACCATTCATCTCTGAACTTTCTCATCTTCCACGCTTGAAACTGCCCATTAAACAATAATTAATTCCCCATTCACCCCTCCCCTGGCTGCTGGCGACCTCCATTCTTTCTGCCTCTACGGGTTTAATTGCTCTAGGTGTCTCGTACGAGTGGAACCCCACACAGTGTCTGTCCTTTGGTGACTGGCTGTTTCACGCAGCGTAGTGTCTTGAAGGTCCATCGTGTTCTAGCACGTGTCCATTCCATTTCCTTTTTTGGCCGCATACTCCATTATGTGTGTGTATATATCTTAATGGATGACTATTATAAAAAAAAAACCAAGTGTTGGCTGTCCTCTGAAGCGGTATCTCCGTACTCAGGATTTGCACTTCCCTAATGACTAGTAATGTTGAACATGTGTTTTTGTTTGTTTGTGAGACGGAGCCTCCCTCTGTCGCCCAGGCTGGAGTGCAGTGGCGTGATCTCGGCTCACTGCAAGCTCCGCCTCCCGGGTTCAAGCAATTCTTCTGTGTCAGCCTCTCGAGTAGTTGGAATTACAGGTGCCTGCCACCACTCCCGGCTTTTTGTATTTTTTGGTAGAGACGGGTTTCACCGTGTTGGTCAGGCTGGTCTCAAACTCTTGACCTCAAGTGATCCACCTGCCTCGGCCTCCCAAAATGCTGTGATTACAGGCATGAGCCACTGTGCCCGGCCTACTGTCAGTTGTTTTATTTGGGTTTTTTGTTTGTTTCTTTGTTTGTTTGTTTTGAGACGGAATCTCCCTCTGTCGTCCAGGCTGGAGTGTAGTGGTGCAATGTCGGCTCACTGCAGCCTCCGCCTCCCGGGTTCAAGCTATTCTACTGCCTCAGCCTCCCGAGTAGCTGAGACTACAGGTGCGTGCCACCACGCCTGGCTAATTTTTGTATTCTTAGTATAGACGGGGTTTCACCATATTGGCCAGGCTGGTCTCGAACTCCTGACCTCATGATCCGCCTGCCTCAGCCTCCCAAAGTGCTGGGATTACAGGCGTGAGCCACCGCTCCCAGCTTACTTTAATTTTTTAAATGAAAATAGTTTGACTCTGCAGTTTCCCTGAAAAAAAGTCTCAGATACCTCCAGGGTTTCGTAGATTCTACTTTAAGACTTGCTGATCTAGGTCTCAGTTTAAGCCAGCTGATTATCCTTCTACTTTTTAAGGAGCCTTATATATGTCTCTCCTGTGTATACCATTGTATTGTCTTGAATAGATCCTCCTTAGTGACTAAAATAAATGAGAATTCAGCATACTGCATCCCTAATTGTTTTGGAGTTACATCACTGTTTTTTAGTCTCTCTGTTGCAGATTTTTCAAACTGCTGGCCTGCAGGCCATAGGAATCCTGTGTGCATGTTTTTTGTGACCCATCCAATGCCACTATTTAAGTTGGAAGATTTCATATTAACATCTTGATTGCTGGATTTTCTTTTTTTTTTTCTTTTTACTTGGATAAATTTATGGGGTGCAAGGGTAATTTTGTTACATGTATAGATTGCACAGTGGCGAAGTCAGGGCTCTTTAGGGTATCTGCTACCCAAATAATGTACATTGTACCCATGAAGTCATCTCTCACCATCCACCCCTGCCGCCTCTGGATTTTCTTGAGAAAGCAAAAAATATGGCACGGACAGGCCTGAGTTTCCTGGTAGTCGTAGTCAGCTGGAGTTGAGTAGCAGCTGCCCCTTGAAACAGACAGATGCGTTCTCTTTTTTGGATGTTCCCTTTTTACACTTTATAAAACAGTGTCTTGTTTTATAGAATAAAATTCTCATCAGATTTGTTGAGGATACATACCCACATTTAGGTTATTTTCTGACCCAGAATTATCTTTCAACTCCAGGGTGATGATTTTTTCTCTTTGTATAGCTTACTGTTTCCCTAGTCCTGCAGATGTATTTCAAATGTCTGACGATCCTTGGATTAGCTTTTAGGTTTGAGAATGAGGCCCAGGAGAAAAGCTCTGTGTATGTGGAAGGGTATTGGTGATGGGCAGACGTTGAGTTCAAGCCGATGGAAACCTGGCCTTTGTGCTTTGCCATCCCTAACTGCCCGATCGCAGAGGACTTTGCTCTGGGTCACCACCTATTACATTAGCTGCTCTGGCTCTCTCTAGATCTGTTTCTTTAAAGAAATATGCGTGTGTGCACCTGCACCCATATCCAGGGAGAAATGCCGGTAAGTCGAGGATTCTGATTTAACAGCTTATAAATCTCGAGTTCTGTTTTCAGTCCCACGGTTACTCACTCTGGACTCTATGAGCCTCTCTCTAGGCAAATAGGAGGCAGATTCCCTTCTAATTCTACCTCAGCTGTAGTCTTCCCTTTCAAGGATTTCTTTTCCTTCATTTCTGCTGTATCAATTATCTCTATTTCATTGCCTTCCCATTTTCTAGAAATTTGTTAAAAATTTTTTAACTGGAGCCGGGCACGGTGGCTCACGCCTGTAGTCCCAGCACTTTGGGAGGCTGAGGTGAGCAGATTGCCCGACATTAGGAGTTCGAAACCAGCCTGGCCAACATGGCAAAAACCGGTCTGTATTAAAAATACAAAAATTAGCTGGGCATGGTTGGGCATGCCTGTGATCCCAGCTACTCAGGACACTGAGGCACAATAATTGTTTGAACCCGGGAGGCGGAGGTTGCAGTGAGCTGAGATTGCACCACTGCACTCCAGCCTGGGTGACAGAGCAAGACTCTGTCTCAAAAAAAAAAAACATTTTTTTTTAATCAGTTAACCTCCTCTGCTAATTTCTGCTGTTGTAGGATTACAGTTTTTAAAAATTCCTTTACTGTTATTTTAATGGAGTTTAGAGGAAGGGTTAAGTATATGCATTCATATGCCATTTCAAACCCAAAACCCTAAACCTCTGGCCTCACAAAATGGAATTCCAGGCCGGGCGTGGTGGCTCACACCTGTAATCGCAGCACTTTGGGAGGCCAAGGCGGGTGGATCACTTGAGGTCAGGAGCTCGAGACCAGCCTGGCCAATGTGGTGAAACCCTGACTCTACCAAAAATATAAAAAATTAGCTGGGTGTGGTGGCGCATGCCTGTAATCCCAGCTGCTCAGGAGAAGGCTGAGGCAGGAGAATCGCTTGAACCTGGGAGGTGGAGGTTGCAGTGAGCCGAGACTGTGCCACTGCACTCCAGCCTGGGCAGCAGAGCAAGGCTCTGTCTCAAAAAAAATAAATAAAATAAATCTAAAATAAATAAATAAAATAAATGTTAAAAATGGAATTCCAAAAGGAGATATTGCTGCAGTTATTAATAGTTGTATATTTTAATTTTTCGTTTTAATGGAAGACCAAAGTTACCATAAAATTGTGTTGCCTATAATGTTATTTTCTTTTTTGATATGAAATAGCTGATGACTATCAGCCAGTTCGTCTGCTCAGTAAACCTGGGGAACTGAGAAGAGAATATGAAGAGGAAATAAGCAAGGTAGGTGCTAAATAGTTTTTTTTTTTGGAATATTTCTCTGCTGTGTTTTTAGTTTCAGATTTTAATTTAGTTTTTTGTGCTTATATAACTAGTATATCTTGAAATATGGATAATTTTTTTTTTTTGAGATGGAGTCTCACTCTGTCACCCAGGCTGGAGTGCAGTGGCGCAATCTCGGCTCACTGCAACCTCCACCTCCCGGGTTCATGCCATTCTCCTGCCTCAGCCTCCCGAGTAGCTGGGACTACAGGCGCCCGCCACTACGCCTGGCTAATTTTTTTGTATTTTTAGTAGAGATGGGGTTTCACAGTGTTCACCAGGATGGTCTCGATCTCCTGACCTTGTGATCCGCCCGCCTCGGCCTCCCAAAGTGCTGGGATTATAGGTGTGAGCCACTGTGCCTGGCCAAAATATGGATAATTTTAATGTACTTTATAAGGGCTTTGTTTTTTGCTGTAATTTACTTCTACATAATTAATGCTCTTATGTGATAGTGTTCCCTAAGCATTTACATATGAAGAAAATTTTTTAATTCTTCTTTTTCCTAATTTAATCCATACCAGGATATATTTTTATTTCCCCAAAGTTTTGAGCTTAAAGTAAAAGGGTGGTAGAGTGTGAGTTTAGATGAGGAAAGGTTAAAGGGCTAGCTGTGAAGTTCCTAAATAGGAAAAGTACCTAAAAAGCAGTGTTTATAGTGAAGCATTATGTTTTAATTACATATGAAGTTATACATAAATAGAGATTTTTCTCTTTTTTTGTTAGTCTTCAAAATTTTGTGTATAATTTTCACTTGTAATACATCTCAGGCTAGGTGTGGAGGCTCACACCTATAATTTCAGTGCTTTGGGAGGCTGAGATGGGACAGCTATCTTGCAGGAATCTACTTCTCCAGATTTGTACTTCATTTGAGATCATTTAAATTTCTGCCAATTTGTTCTTTTTCTACTTTTCTATTCTTGTTATGAAATATTGCAAGTATACCAAAACGTTCAGAGAAGGATTGCTCTTTATTAATCACTTTTAAGGTGGCGGCAGAGCGACGGGCCAGCGAGGAAGAAGAAAACAAAGCCAGTGAAGAATACATACAGAGGTTGTTGGCAGAGGAGGAAGAAGAGGAAAAAAGACAGGCAGAAAAAAGGCGAAGAGCGATGGAAGAACAACTGAAAAGTGATGAGGAACTGGCAAGAAAGCTAAGCATTGATATTGTAAGTTTTAGGAGGGAACGCTAAGGTATGGTCATCCCTTGGTATGCGCTGCTGCAGAACCCGCTCATGGGAAGAGTCAGCTCCTTGTATTTCCAGGTTCTGCATCCCACAAATATTGTCTTTTCCACCCCAGGCTGGTTGGATTTGAGTGTTTGGAACCTGCTGATACGGAAAGCTAACTATTAACATTCCGATTGCTTTGACTGTGGTTTTCAAAGAACAGAAGAGATGGCGTTGCCATAATTAGAAGCTATTGATAACATTTTTGCTTTACTTAAAGTAAAATTGTTTTGCATATTGTTACATATTTGCTCTAATCCAGGTTTTTGGGGTTTTTTGTTTTTTGAGACAGGTCTTACTCTGTCATGCAGGTTGGAGTGCAGTGGCACAATCACGACTCACTGCAGCCTCGACGGCCGGGCTCCGGTGATCCTTCCAACCTCCCGAGTAGCTGGGACTACAGGCTGGCACTACCATGCCTGGCTACTTTTTTGTGGAGACAGGGCTTTGCCATGTTTCCTGAACTGGTGTCGAGCTCCTGGGCTCAAGCCGTCCATCTGCCTCGGCGTCTCAAAGTGCTGGGTTTGTGGCGTGAGCCACCGCAAGTTGTTTAACAACTTTTTTATATGTAGGAAAGCTATTCAGTGAAGAATGAAAGCTTCCTTTTTCCTTCTTCCACCTCTCCACTCCCGTTCCTTTTCCATTTATATCAGTCTCTATCCCCAAAGGTAACCACTATTAACAGTTTCTTACAACTTTTTTCTTGCCAGGGTGCGATGGCTCGGGCCTGTAATCCCAGTACATTGGGAAGCTGAGGCGAGAGGATCGCTTGAGCCCAGGAGTTTGAGACCAGCCTGGGCAACAAAGTGAGACCCTGTTTCTTCAGAAAAATTAATAATGAGCCGAGTGTGATGGTGCGTGCCTGGAGCTCCACCTGCTGGGAGGGGCTGAGGCAGGAGGATCCCTTGAGCCCAGGAGTTTGAGGTTACAGTGAGCTGATCTCGCCACTGCACTTCAACCTGGAAGACCATCTCAAAAAAAAAAGCTTTTTTTCTTTATTGACCTAAAAAGGATTATATAAAGCAATCACACTGTTTTGCTGCTTACATTTTTTCCACTTGATAACATCGTAGAGATTTTTCATATTACTACATGTAGTCAATCTAATTCTTTTAAAGAGTGGAATAATATTCCATTTTATGGATGTAAATCACATTTTGAAAGTAAGGCACATTAAATTTTTAGATAATGTATTAAACTTGGATGTTCTGCTTCCTGTAGTTAAATTGCTGCCTGTAAGAAAATGAATTAAATGGTGTGTGATAAAACACATACTTTAAGATCAGAGGGTACTGTGGGGCCCAGTGGTTTGAACGAGCCTGGCAGAGTAACCTGGGAATGCTGTTGAAATACAAACTCTCATATTTACTCCAAATCTATTAAGTCAGAGTCTCTAGGGATGGGACCTAGGGAATACAATCTTCAGAGGCATGTAGGGAAGTGTGAAACATTCAGGTTTGAGAGCCTGTGAAAACAATTCTTCAGCTTTCAAACAACGAATATCTTAACATACACTTACCATTGAATCATGGGAAGTTCAATAGAATAAAAAAATATATATGTATATACACTTAGCAAAATGAGTATACGCAGAATTGGGAATTTTTTTCTTTTTTGAGAGGCCTACCATTAATAATAATGTACCCAAATTTTGGGTTATATGCCCCTTTTTATGTGTCTTTTTTAAGTAGAATCGCTTTAGAAATACACAATCAGGAAACTAAATAAAAGTCATTGACCAATGGAATAATAAATGGAATAGGGAAGAAGTATATCTAGTTTTCCCATGGTATTATAAGAGTAGATTTATTGATACTGTAGAATAATTTTTTTAACTTTTTTTTTTTTTGAGACAAGAGTCTCACTCTGTCACCCAGGCTGGAGTGCAGTAGTGCAACCTCAACTCCCGGTTCAAGCGATGCTCCTGCCTCAGCCTCCAGAGTATCTGGGATTACAGGTGCCGCCACCACATCCTGTTAATTTTTGTATTTTTAGTGCCGATGGGGTTTCACCATGTTGGCCAGGCTGGTCTTGAACTCCTGGCCTCATGTGATCCACCCACCTCAGCCTCCCAAAGTGCTGGGATTACAGGCATGAACCACCATGCCCAACCTAGAATAATTTTCTATTTATTTATGAAAGTTTGGTGGTTTAAGGCCAAATATTCACCATCACCATATATGAACTTTTCCATTAGGGTAGTAAGAAACTTACGAGACTGGTACAGCAAGTAAATATTTGTGATTTTTATTAATACGCCCTTAAAGTCCAGAACTAAAATATTATTACATAAAACTATTCTTTTGGGTATATCCACAGCTCTCTGAATATGTCCATATAGATAAAAGTAATTATATAAAAGTATTTATTAGAAAAATCAACAGGCTGGGCACAGTGGCACAGACCTATAATCCGAACACTTTGGAAGGCTGTGGTGGGGGAATCACTTGATTCCAATAGTTGGAGACCAGCCTGGGCAACATAGTGAGACCTCATCTTTACAAAGCATTTAAAAAAAAGTAGCTGGGCATGGTGGCACATGCCTGTGTCCTAGCTACTCGAGAAGCTAAGATGGGAGGATTGCCTGAGCCCAGGAGGTTGAGGCTACAGTGAGCTATGATCACTCCACTGCAGTCCAGCCTGGATGACAGAGCAAGACTCTGTCTCAAAATAAAACAAAAACAACCCACCTAACCAAGCCTGGTGGCTCATGCCTGTAGTCCTAGCTACTTGGGAGGTGAAGGTGGGAGGATCACTTGAACCTGGGAGGTCAAGGTTGCAAGGAGCCATGATTGCTACACTGCACTCCAGCCTCGGCGACAGAGTGAGACCCTGTCTTAAAAAAAAAAAAAAAAAAAAAAAAAAGGCCGGGCGCGGTGCCTCATGCCTGTAATCCCAGCACTTTGGGAGGCCGAGGCAGGCAGATCATGAGGTCAGGAAATCGAGACCATCCTGGCTAACACAGTGAAACCCCATCTCTACTAAAAAAAATACAAAAAATTAGCCGGGCATGGTGGAGGGCGCCGGTAGTCCCAGCTACTCAGGAGGCTGAGGCAGGAGAATGGCATGAACCTGCGGGGGTGGAGCTTGCAGTGAGCCGAGATCGCGCCACTGCACTCCAGCCTGGGCAACAGAGCGAGACTGCGTCTCAAAAAAAAAAAAAAAAAGGAAAGAAAGATCAACAGGAATTATCAGCTAATGAGGTTAGTATTATGCCTTATTTTGTGCTTGATGTACAGTAAAAATGTAATTAATTTAGACCAACTTGGATGAACATAGTTTATTCTGATTTTTGCATGGTCAATATTCTTCAAGAGATGTACAGAATTTAAATATAACTATAATTTCTGAAAAATGCTATGGATTTCTGAATTAGTCAAATTAATAGCTTATTTTATCATAAAGTTCTCTCTCATAATGTCTGTTATGCTTTTTCTATTGTTGAAGAACAATTTCTGTGAGGGAAGTATCTCGGCTTCTCCCTTGAATTCCAGAAAATCTGATCCAGTTACACCCAAGTCTGAAAAGAAAAGTAAGAACAAACAAAGAAACACTGGAGATATTCAGAAGTAAGTGAACATGACTATGAATTATTTGTTGACCTCCTACTGTATGCCAGTGTTTTCTGTTCATATAGACTACTACTGATTCTCAAAGTTTGGTCCGTGAACTTTGTATGAAAATAGTCTGAGGTTGAGGTAAATTGAAAAGGAGAGAGCTACTCACACAGCTTCCTCTTGGCTTCTCACTCAGCCACTTACTGTGGCAGATTCATACTTTTATCTTACTGCCTCAGGATTTCCAGTTTTCTCAAAGTGAACCATTGGATTCCTCTTTCTCTTGGTTTAAATTCAGATGAAAAAAATGGGTCCCAGATAGGCTTATCTTCACTGAAAGAGTTTACAATTTGTCATTTCTTCTCTATTACACAAAATGCATGAGTCAGGTAGACAAAGGTGGCGTGATTGAGTTTCACCACAACACCCCTCCAGGGTCAGGTGCCAGGTGGAGTTGGTGGCTTTACGCAAACATCAGCTTTCCCATGGTAACTCACAGTTGGAAAAGTTTAAAAACCACAGTCTAGACTTGAAAAATACATAAGGACTTCTGGTTCAACTGAGGAAATATGTGCAGGTAACTCATCTCCTTCCAAGATTTGTTGAAATTTTGTATTTGAGGTGGGAGGAAGCTTAGGAGAAGAGAATGTTAAATGAGGGAGGTACTATTAAAAAAAAAAAAAGATGTGACAATATCAGTGTCGCCAGTACTCATAATGTGCAAAGTAAAAATGAGAAAACCGCTAAAATGCAGAAGTATTTCATATTGATACAATATGCTGTTTAAGGCTATAACTCATGAATCTTTATATATCTAAATATATACTTTGAAATACATAAAAATAAAAAATTACCAGAGATACAAGAAAAACTAAGGATTTAAAAGCAAAAATTGAGAAACTGATGGATTAAAGTTGTAACAATATTAAAAACAGATAAAGTCTGTTTTCTAGAATATATGAAAACTCTTATAACTCAACAACAGAAGACAAATAATTAAAAACTGGACAAAGGGACTTGAGTAGACATTTTTCCCATGATGTACAAGTGGCCAATAAGTACACGAAAATATGTTTAACATCATTAGTTATTAGGGAAATGCATATCAAAACCACAGTGATATAGCATTTCATACCCATTAGGATGGCTATAATCCACAAAAAGGGAAAATAATAAGTGTTGACAAAGATGTGGAGAAATTGGAATCCTTGCGCATTGCTTGGTAGGAATGTAAAGTGGTATCGTGGCTGCAGAAAACAGTTGGTGATTCCTTGAAAAGTTAAACGGAATTAGCATATGACCCAGCAATTCCACTCCTAGGTATGTACCCAAAAGAATTGAAAGCAGGTATTCAAACAAATACTTGTACATGAATATTTGTGTCAACATTATTCAAATAACCGAAAGGTAGAAACAACCCAAATGTCCATTAACAAATGAATGGGTAAACAAAATGTGGCATTCCATTTTATGTGAATTACACCTCAATTCAAAAGTTTAAAAATGAATAACAGGATTATATAGTTTTAAAATTAAGAAAAATTTCTAAACAACTTGTTGATTAAAGAGTAAATTTTGTTGGAAATACAGAACTGAAAATATGCATGAAAACTGGTATGTGGCTAAAGTGGTATTTAGAAGGCTTTACGTGCCGTATCAGAAAAGAAGAAAGGGCAGCCAGGTGTTGTGGCACGTACCTGTAATCCCAGCTACATGGGAGGCTGAGGCAGGAGGATTGCTTAAGCCCAGGGAGTTTGAGTTTGGGACCAGCTTGGACAGCATAGCAAGATCCTGTCTCTAAAAAAAAAAAAAAAAAAAAGCCAGGGACAGTGGCTCATGCCTATAATCCCAGCACTTTGGGAGGCTGAGGTCTGAGGTGGTAGGATTGCTTGAGGCCAGGAGGAGTTCAAGACCAGCCTGGGCAACATAGTAAGACCCTGTCTCTACACAAAATAAAAAAATTAGCCAAATGCAGTGGCACATGCCTGTAACCCCAGCCACTTGGGAGGCTGAGGTGGGAGAATTGCTTGAGCCCAAGAGGTCGAAGCTGCAGTGAGCTATGATCATATCTCAAAAAAAAAAAAAAAAAAAAAAAAAAACGCAGCTGAAAACGTATTTAAAAAGACAATTCCAGGAATACATTGCTGGTTTAATGGTAGAAAATGAATCACTGTAAGTTATTCAATTAGCTGTATAAATATGAAATACACGAGATGATAATTCTTAATGAAGTGGTAACAGAAAGAAACTTTCTTAACCTGTTGAAGGATATCTACCAAAATCTTACATCACATATCATACTTCATAGTGGAACATCGAAATTATTTCCTTTTTTTTTTTTTCCAGACAGTCTTTCTTGCCCTGTCACCCAGGCTAGAGCGCAGTGGTGCGATCATGGCCCACTGCAACCTCAAACTCCTGGGTACAAGTGATCCTCCCGCCTGGGCCTCCCAAGGTGCCTGGATTACAGGAGTGAGCCGCCACGCCCCGCCATTCCCCTTGTAAGGTCAGGAATACGCAAGGGTGGCCTGCTACTCTCCACCTGCATTCAGACTCATGCTGGAGAGTTTAGTCTGCACAGTAACACAATAAAAGGAGATAAAACATATCAGCCTGGAAAGGAAGGAAAAAGCAGCTATCATTCTTCAGAGGCGGTATAATTATCTATGTAGAAAACCCAAAAAGTCAGAGGTACATTTTTAGAATGAAGAGTTTAGCAAGGTTGCCAGATATAAAATCTGTACAAAAAGTCAATTGTAAAATGTAACTTTAAAAATACTCTGTCGATAGTAGTATCAGAAAATAAAAGTACTTAAAAATAAATGTGTTAAAATCTGAGGCAAGCATGGTGGCTCATGCCTATAATCCCAGCACTTCGGGAGACTGAGGCGAGAGGATTGCTTGAGCCCAGGAGTTCAAGACGAGCCCGAGCTGCACAGGGAGACCCTATCTCTTAAAAAAAAATTAAAAAATTAACCAGGCATGATGATGCACACCTGTAGTCCCAGCTGCTCAGGTGGCTGAGGCAGGAGGATCACTTGAGCCTGGGAGGTTACGGCTGCAGTGAGCTGTGATTTTACCACTGCACTCCAGCCTGGGCAACAGACAAGACCATGTCTCAGAAAAATAAAAATCTGTACGACCCGTGGAGAAAATTGTATTATATTAAATATACAATATTCATGGGTTAGAAGATGCCTAATACTACAAAATGGTCAGATCTCCTCAGACTGATCTATAGAGTCAGTGCAATTCGAATCAGAATTCCAACTTTTCAAATTTTTCTTTTGAGACGGAGTCTCGCTCAGAATCACACAATACTAATCAATAAAGTGTTTAGAGATGCAAAAGTGTGGCAAATCTGTTTTAAAAAGTAAGATATAAGAAACTCAGGATAGTATGAGGTGGGAGATGACGAGGCCCCATAGGAGACTTTCAAACCAATGATTTCTTTTCCCTTCAACCAAGTAATAAGCATATGGGCTTTCATGGTAATACAGATTTTTAAACTTTTTAGAAGAATAACACATTTTTTTGTTTTGTTTTTAATGGACCACAGAGCAGCAAACATATATTTTAAAGTGCACCAGTCTTCGGCACCATAAGACAGGGTAAAAAAGAAAAAGTAAAAAATTTAAAAAGACGGTGCACCAATCCTAAGTATACTTTCTGGTGAATTTTTGTGTGTGTATAAACCACCCACCAGATGAAGACGGAATATTTACAAAGGTTTGCTTGTGCCCTTTCCCTTTCCAGTCAGTGTCCCCCTCCCCGTGACCGTGCTGTACTGTGATTCTTACATGTATTGTATGACTGTTCTCTCATAAACTTTGTTTTCATGAGGCAGACTTGGAAAGATCTTAAGACATTAGTGAAAAAAGCAAATCACAAGCCGGGCGCAGTAGCTTATGCGTGTAATCCTAGCACTTTGGGAGGGTGAGGCAGGCAGATCACTTGAGGTCAGGAGTTCAAAACCAGCCTGGCCAACATGGTGAAACCCCGTTTCTACTAAAAATACAAAAAAATTAGCCAGGCGTGGTGGCGGACGCCTGTAATCCCGCTACTGGGGAGGCTGAGCCAGGAGAATTGCTTGAACCTGGGAGGCGGAGGTTGCAGTGAGCCGAGGTCACACCACTGCACTCCAGCCTGGGCGATAGTCCGTCTCAAAAAAAAAAGCGTGAGGCTGGGTGTGTTGGCTCATACCTGCAATCCCAGCACTTTGGGAGGCCAAGGCAGGTGGATCACTTGAGCCTAGGAGTTTGAGACCAGCCTGGGCAACATGCGGAAACCCTGTCTCTACAAAAAATAACAAAAATTAGCCGGGCGTGGTGTGCCTGTGGTCTCAGATGTTTGGGAGGCTGAGGTGGCAGGATCACGTGAACCTGGGAGGTCAAGGCTGCCGTGAGCTATGATGGTGCTACTGCACTTCAGCCTTGGTGACAGCAAGACCCTGCCTTAAAAAATAATGAAGCCAGGCACGGTGGCTCACACCTGTAATCCCAGCACTTTGGGAGGCCGAGGCGGGTGGATCACCTGAGGTCAGGAGTTCAAGACCAGCCTGGCCAACATGGCGAAACCCCATCTCTACTAAAAATACAAAAATTAGCCGGGTGTGGTGGCGAGCACCTGTAATCCCAGCTACTCGGGAGGCTGAGGCAGAGAGAATTGCTTAAAACTCAGGAGGTGGAGGTTGCAGTGAGCTGAGACTGCACCACTGCACTCCAACCTGGGCAATAGAGTGAGACGCCGTCTCAAAAAAAAATAAATAAAATAATGGCCAGGTGCGGTGGCTCACACCTGTAATCCTAACACTTTGGGAAGCCGAGGTGGGTGGATCACCTGAGGTCAGGAGTTCAAGACCAGCCTGGCTGTCCTGTCTCTACCAAAAATACAATACTTCTGAGGTCAGGCATTCGAGATCAGCCTGTCTCTACCAAAAATACAAAAATTCGCTGGGCATGGTGGTGCATGCCTGTAATCCCAGCTACTTGGGAGGCTGAGGCAGGAGAGTTGCTTAAACCCGGGAGGCAGAGGTTGCAGTGAGCAGAGATTGTGCCATTGTACTTCAGTCTGGGCGATAGAGTGAGACTCTGTCCCCCAAAAAATAAAATAACTAAAATAAACAAAATCAAAAAGAGTGTGTATTTCATAGAAATCATATTTTTAAAAAATTGGTTACATATGTTAAAAGGAGAACCTTAGACAAATTAACAGAGTTTAATTGAGCAAAGGACAATTCACAAATTGGGCAGCCTCTCGAGCCAGAGTAGGCCGAGAGCGACTCCCGTGGAGCCACATGTCGGAAGAAGATTAACAGACAGAAAAGGGAACGTGATGTATGGAAAGCAGAAATGAGGGGCAGAGACAGCCAGAGTGGTTACAGTTTGGCATTTGCCTTATTTGAACATGATTTGAACAGTTGGCCCCCTTTGGCCAAAGCTTGGTGACTGGCACAAGAGTAGTTTACAGGCTGTTCACACCTCCCTTTAGGCTGTAGTTCACTATATACAGAGAAATCTTTGGGCTGAACTTAAAATACGTAAGGAGGCAGCTTTAGGCTAAACTTAATTTAAAACATAAAAGGAAGCAAATGGGAATGGATCCCAAAAATTCAGACTCAAGGAAAAAAGAAAAAAAAAAGTTCTTAAAACATGGGAAGGGAAAGGGTTGATGACATATATTTCCTGTATTTCTGTTTTGTTTAAGAGACAGGGTCTCACTGTTACCCAGGCCACAGTGGCAAGAAAATAGCTCACTGCAGCCTCAAACTCTTGGGCTCAAGCGATCCTCCCACCTCAGCCTTCAGAGTAGCTGGGACTATAGGCACACACCATTATGTCCAGCTAATTTTTCTTTTTAATTTTTTGTAGAGATGGGTCTTGCTGTGTTGTCCAGTTTTCGGACTCCTGGCCTCAAACGATCCTCCCACCTCAGCCTCCCAAAGTGTTAGAATTACAGGCATGAACCACCACGGCCAGTTCTGCTTATTTTCAGAATGAGCATGTATTCATATATTACTTGGTTATTATAAATAAGGAATATCCAAGAGAGTTAATGAATCTTCAGTGATTGTGTTGGATAAGTAATAACATTCTGTTCTCTGCTTATGAACGTCAAAACAACTGTTATAACAGTGATACTTTGGTACTGGTATGCTTCGTAAGTAGTGGTCCCGCATCAGCATTGACAGAAAGAATTCTTCAGCCTAAAGAAACTAAATGAGACTAAGCTTCTTTTCAACTGAAAATTTGGTTCTTGTTCTTCAAAGTTAACAGAGTAAATATATAGATTGATATAACTAAATATATGGGTTAGGTACTCTTGTTTGCCCATAAGGAATATTCATTAGTTCTTTATATGAGATCTTTGTTTAGGTTTGATTGTTCCATATGCTACTTGTTGGTGCTTTTGACACAGTGTAACTTATGGATTTGTCTGTTATTTATAGTCACTTTTTTTCTCTAATTCTAAAAGCCATGGCTAGCTGCTCTTTGAAAATCACCCAAAGTTTCCACCATTTGGAGACAACCAACATTTTGGGAAATTTCTGCCATTTGTAAACATAGTTATATGCATGTTTGGATATTTTACAATTTTTAAACTATACCTACCATCTTGTAGCCTGCCTTTTCTATTCCCCGTTCTTTTATAACATTTTCCATTCTATTAAAACCGTAGTGTTTTCAGTGGCAAACAGCCTGTTATATTGAAGATTCTTAGAAATGTAAAGATATGACCAGGTGCAGTGGCTCACGCCTGTAATCCCAACACTTAGGGAGGCCGAGGCAGGCGGATCACCTGAGGTCAAGAGATTGAGACCATCCAGGCCAACGTGGTGAAACCCTGTCTCTATTAAAAATACAAAAATTAGCAGGGCATGGTGGCGTGTGCCTGTAGTCCCAGCTACTCAGGAGGCTGAGGCAGGAGAATCACTTGAACCCGGGAGGCGGAGGTTGCAGTGAGCCAAGATCATGTCACGGCACTCCAGCCTGGCGACAGAGTGAGACTCTGTCTCAAAAAAAAAGAAAGAAATGTAAAGATATGTGTTTCTAAGAAGAGAGTTGAGGGCCAGGCACGGTGGCTCACGCATGTTATCCCAGCACTTTGGGAGGCCGAAGCAGGCGGATCACCTGAGGTCAGGACTTCGAGACCAGCCTGGCCAACATGGTGAAACCCCGTCTCTACTAAAAATACAAAAATTAGCTGGACGTGGTGGCACATGCCTGTAATCCCAACTACTCAGGAGGCTGAGGCAGGAGAATCACTTGAACCTGGGAGGCGGGGTTGCAGTGAGCCGAGATTGCACCAATGCACTCCAGCCTGGGTGACAGAGCAAGACTCCGTCTCAGAAAAAAAAAAAAAAGAAGAGAGTTGATATAAAAGTATGTATGATAACATCTCTATACCAGAATAGTAAGGAATTTAATCATGGACTTTTTCCCAATAGTAGAGATTTAAAATGTCGTGAACAGCCAACATTTCCAGCATAAAGAAGAAACTAACATATCCTTTCTCCTAGTTTAAAGCATCATTTTCATTACTTTTGGGAAGACTATAGAGTCTTGCATTGTTTTGATGCTATCTGCTTTTTTAAGCTTTTTTCAAGAATTAAGAAATATTTACGCTGGGCGCAGTGGCTCACGGCTGTAATCCCAGCACTTTGGGAGGCTGAGACAGGCGGATCACCTGAGCGTCAGGAGTTCGAGACCAGCCTGACCAACATGGTGAAACCCGTCTCTACTAAAAATACAAAAATTAGCCGGGCGTGGTGGCGGGCGCCTGTAATCCCAGCTACTCAGGAGGCTAAGGCAGAAAAATCGCTTAAACCCGGGAGGCGGAGGTTGCAGTGAGCTGAGATCGCGCCACTGCACTCCAGCCTGGGCGACAGAGGGAGACTCCGTCTCAAAAAAAAGAAAAGAAAAAAAAATATTTAGCCGGGCTCAGTGGCTCACGCCTGTAATCCCAGCACTTTGGGAGGCCAAGGCAGGCGGATCACGAGGTCAGGAGATCGAGACCATCCTGGCTAACACGGTGAAACCTCGTCTCTACTAAAAATACAAAATATTAGCCGGGCGTGGTGGTGGGCGCCTGTAGTCCCAGCTACTTGGGAGGCTGAGGCAGGAGAATGGCGTGAACTCGGGAGGCGGAGCTTGCAGTGAGCGGAGATCACACCACTGCACTCCAGCCTGGGTGACAGAGCGAGACTCTATCTCAAAAAAAAAAAAAAAAGAAAAAATATTTAGATTTGACTTTTACTTCCTTTTCTGTTTTTCACTAAAATATCAATACTCAATCATTTAAGTTTTGTCCTGGAATTGACCAAAATATCTGAAGCACGGAAATGAGATACACTCTGATAAAACAGCCAAGCAGCAAACCAGACAACCTTCGGTATAAATAGCTTTATTATGTTGGGTACATACCATCTGTCTTTGAAAGCATTGAAACTTTGGTAAACTTTTCTTTTAGGTATTTGACACCGAAATCTCAGTTTGGGTCAGCCTCACACTCTGAAGCTGTACAAGAAGTCAGGAAAGACTCCGTATCTAAGGTATGTTGATACTGAAGATGTTCTGAGTTTTGCTGGTTCATTAATGCTGTAGATTAGTGCTATCCATAGTTTTCTACCTTTTAACAAAAGCCCCTATAGTTAATCAAACACCCTGTCTGAGTCCTCTTAGGCTCACCTAGAGAAAAAGCACTTTTTCTCCAAAGGAAACTACAATTTTTTAAATAAACATACTACAAAAAGCAAAGTTTTTCTCTAAGAGAGTGAATATTTTCGCCTTTGCAGTTAGTGTGATCTGTGTCACAGCTTCTCAGCTACGCTGGTGTAGTGTGAAAGCATCTATAGATAATATGTAAACACATCAGCTTGAATGCATTCCAGTAAAACTTTGTTTACAAAAACAGGCAGGAGGCTGGATTTGGTCCATGAGCCATAGATTACTGATCCTTGACCTATGTAATCCAAACTCACAAAACTGAATAGGTTATACCTGGCACCAGCTTCACTTAGAATGTTACAAGATGGAGCTGAATGCGGTGGCTCACGCCTGTAATCCCAGCACTTTGGGAGACTGAGGCAGGTGGATTATCTGAGGTCAGGGGTTCGAGATCAGCCTGACCAACATGGAGAAACCCCATCTCTACAAAAAAATACAAAATTAGCCGGGTGTGGTGGCGCATGCCTGTAATCCCAGCTACTTGGGAGGCTGAGGCAGGAGAATTGCTTGAACCCGGGAGGTAGAGGTTGCGGTGAGCTGAGATCGTGCCGTTGCCCTCCAGCCTGGACAACAAGAGTGAAACTCTGTTTCAAAAAAAAAAAAAAAAAGAATATTACAAGATGGGAGGCCAAGCACGGTGGCTCAGGCCTGTAATCCTAGCACTTTGAGAGGCTGAGGCAGGCAGAAAGTTGGGAGTTCGAGACCAGCCTGGCCAATGTGGTGAAACCCCATCTCTACTAAAAATACCAAAAAAAAAAAAAAAATTAGCCAGGTGTGGCACATACCTGTAGTCCCTGCTACTCAGGAGGCTGAGGCAGGAGTATTGCTTGAACCCGGAAGGCGGAGGTTGCAGTGAGCTGAGATGTCGCCATTGCACTCCAGCCTGGATGACAGAGTGAGACTCCACCTCAAAAAAAAAAAAAAAAAAAAATTGCAAGATGAGAAAAAGTATGCTAGTAAGGCAGCATCAGGCATGTGTGTTCAGCAGGAGTCCTCAGCAGCAGAGCTCCAAGGTGATAGCCTGGAAAAAGGCCACACAAGTGAGTGTATTAACTACTTTGAGACCACATGCCCTGTAAGGGTCAATTATTTCTTATAACAAACAATGGGTCTAGCTTCCAGGGGTCTTGGTGAGAAATACACCCAGTCAAGTTACTTATAGAAGTAACTTATAGAAGTCCCAAGCTTTATCTTCCAAACACTAGGTATTTTTTTTTTGCTTGTTTGTTTTGTTTTGTTTATTTTTTGAGAGAGAATCCATCGTCCAGGCTGGAGTACAGTGGATGCTCGGTGCATCCTCAGCTTCCCTGGTAGCTGGGACTACAGGCTTATACCCCCACGCCCGGCTAATTTTTGTATTTTTAGTAGAGATGGGGTTTCATCATGTTGGCCAGGCTGGTCTCAAACTCCTGACCTCAGGTGAGCTGTCCGCCTCAGCCTCCGGAAGTGCTGTGATTACAGGCATGAGCCACCGTGCCCAGCCATGTTACAGATATCTTTAAATATCATTTATACTTATCTCTACATTGGTATTAGACTGCAGTTGTGCCTTGTGGCAAAACAGAGAGTGGGTGTACTACATCAGGGGTGACACAGATAATTGGGTATTATGAGTTATTAGACTGGCTGGTAGATCCTATTATTTACTGTATTATAGATGCACATTATTACCTCACATTTTTTTGAACCTTTTAATGATTGTGTTTACAACATAAATTGTTCCTTTTGTAAAGCTACTGTATATCTTAATTTTTTAGTTAAAAACATTATTCTCAGAAGTGGTCTGTAAGCTTCACCTAAATGCCAAAAGGAGGGTCCACGGTAGAGAAAAGAGTTAAAAACCCCTATGCTGGCAGACCTTTGTAAGGTGAAAGAAGGTCAGGTCCTGATACCAGCTATTGGCCATATTTGGAATCTAGTCTGTGGGTTTTAATCTGTAGGTTTTCATGGGAGTGAAAATGAAGTAATAGCTTAATCTAAATTTGCCCATGAAATAAAAATACTATTAAGAATAAATATACACCTATTTGGGAGGCTGAGGCAGGAGAATCACTTGAACCTGGGAGGTGAAGGTTGCAGTGAGCTGAGACCGCGCCACTGCACTCCAGCCTGGGCGACAGAGCAAGACTCTGAAAAAAAAAGAAAAGAAAGAAAGAAATATATACCTTATTAGTAATAATAATGTATAGTGACAGTCCAGCTGTAGTATCAGTGTAATTAGACTTACATCTTATGATTTGATATTTTCCCCTGGTTCACTCAGTCTTTTTCTGTTTTCTACAGGACATTGACAGTAGTGATAGGAAAAGCCCAACAGGGCAAGACACAGAAATAGAAGATATGCCGACACTTTCTCCACAGATATCCCTTGGAGTTGGAGAACAAGGTGCAGATTCTTCAATAGAGTCCCCTATGCCATGGTTATGTGCCTGTGGTGCCGAATGGTACCATGAAGGAAACGTCAAAACAAGACCAAGCAATCATGGGAAAGAGTTATGTGTCTTAAGTCACGAGCGACCTAAAACCAGAGTTCCCTACTCGAAAGAAACTGCAGTTATGCCTTGTGGCAGAACAGAAAGTGGGTGCGCCCCCACATCAGGGGTGACACAGACAAATGGAAACAACACAGGTGAGACAGAAAATGAAGAGTCGTGCCTACTGATCAGTAAGGAGATTTCCAAAAGAAAAAACCAAGAATCTTCCTTTGAAGCAGTCAAGGATCCATGCTTTTCTGCAAAAAGAAGAAAAGTGTCCCCCGAATCTTCCCCAGATCAAGAGGAAACAGAAATAAACTTTACCCAAAAACTGATAGATTTGGAGCATCTACTGTTTGAGAGACATAAACAAGAAGAACAGGACAGGTTATTGGCATTACAACTTCAGAAGGAGGTGGATAAAGAGCAAATGGTGCCAAACCGGCAAAAAGGATCCCCAGATGAGTATCACTTACGCGCTACATCCTCCCCTCCAGACAAAGTGCTAAATGGACAGAGGAAGAATCCCAAAGATGGGAACTTCAAAAGGCAAACTCACACAAAGCATCCAACACCAGAGAGAGGCTCAAGGGACAAAAATAGGCAAGTGTCTTTAAAGATGCAGTTGAAGCAGTCAGTTAATAGAAGAAAGATGCCAAATTCTACTAGAGATCACTGTAAGGTATCCAAAAGTGCTCACTCCCTACAGCCTAGCATTTCACAGAAAAGTGTTTTTCAGATGTTTCAGAGATGCACAAAGTAAGGCCTGGTAAAGGGAGTGCTTTGTGATCTAGTAAAGCTGGAATGTGAAGCTCTTTCCTATCATGGAATCTTCATCCATGTGTCATTCATGCTGCTCTCTAGGCACACTCATTGTCCTTAATGAAGGTCTGTGTGATTGTAAGGACTGCATAGACACATGAGCTTCTGCACAGCTCAGCGGTAAGCAGGGGTCCCCTGTCGTTTCCCTTCTTAATAACAGATGTGTATTAAGCTTTACAATTCTTAGAGATATCTTAAGCTTTGGCCAACTCCAGGAAATCTTCAAGTGCCATTGTCTTTCCAAAAACTGCATGTTTTATGGCCTTTGCTCACCTTTTTGTCGTGACTGGTAATCAAAGCAAGATTATACTATTCTGAGTGATTAAGGAACCCATGCAGGGTTTAAAATCCATTTTCTTGCTATTGTCCAATGTTTACAGAGTACTCAAAAGGTTTTCCTAAAGTAATCTAATTTCCATCTCCAATTTAATTCAATTTTCAGCATTGTAGCATTTCCTTTGGTGTTTGTTTTTTTTTTTTAGACGGAGTTTCAAAATTTGGATTCATATTCATATGTGGGAAATCCCAGATTTTTTTTTTTTTTTTTTTTTTTTTTTTTTTTTGGAGACAGAGTCTTGCTCTGTCACGCAGGCTGGTGTGCAATGGCGCGATCTCAGCTCACTGCAACCTCCGCCTCCCGAGTTCAAGCGATTCTTCTGCCTCAGCCTCCCGAGTAGCTGGGATCATAGGCATGTGCCACTACACCCAGCTACCCAGCTAATTTTTTTTTTTTTTTGTACTTTTAGTAGAGATGGGATTTCACCATGTTGGCCAGGCTGGTCTTGAACTCCTGTCCTCAGGTGATCCACCTGCTTCGGCCTCCCAGAGTGCTGGGATTATAGGCGTGAGCCACCACGCCCGGCCTGTTTCCTTTGGTTTAAAGTGGATTCGAATCAGTGTTAAATCAGAAAATCAGGGTTTTCTAGGAAATTGGGAATTAGTTGCCAGAAAGGAAACTGAACTATGCAGAAGGAGTTAAGAGCTGGGATGAGGCTGGATGGGGTGACTGACAGTCCAGATCATTGAAACAGATTGGGTCGTCGGAAACTGGTCCAGATGAGGCTGGATGGGGTGACTGACAGTCTGGATCATTGAAACTGATTAGGTCGTCAGAAACGGGTCCAGACGAGGATGAGGCTGAGGCTGGATGGGGTGACTGACAGTCTGGATCATTGAAACTGATTGGGTGGTTGGTCAGAAACGGGTCCAGATGAGGATGAGGCTGAGGCTGGATGGGGTGACTGACAGTCTGGATCATTGAAACTGATTGGGTGGTTGGTCAGAAACGGGTCCAGATGAGGATGAGGCTGGATGGGGTGACTGACAGTCTGGATCATTGAAACTGATTGGGTCGTCAGAAACTGGTCCAGATGAGGCTGGGTGGGGTGACTGACAGTTTGGATCATTGAAACTGATTGGGTGGTCAGAAACTGGTCCAGATGAGGATGTGGCTGGATGGGGTGACTGACAGTCTGGATCATTGAAACTGATTGGGTGGTCAGAAACTGGTCCAGATGAGGATGTGGCTGGATGGGGTGACTGACAGTCTGGATCATTGAAACTGATTGGGTGGTGAGAAATGGGTCCAGATGAGGATGAGGCTGGATGGGGTGACTGACAGTCTGGATCATTGAAACTGATTGGGTGGTGAGAAATGGGTCCAGATGAGGATGAGGCTGGATGGGGTGACTGACAGTCTGGATCATTGAAACTGGTCCACTATGACGCAGCAGGGGCAGTTTGGCAGAGCATCCTCTTCCCTTGTCCTTGTGAAAGAACACAGGAAACATTTGGGTTTTACAGCTTTTCACACCCTACTATCAGGCATCAGAATCAAAATTAGTTACTAAATTGGGTGAATTTTTGGAAACCTGCATTTCTATGCATCTGCTATTCCAGAAAAAAATGGGAATGTATTACAGGAGAGTTACCTCACAGTGTCTTATGTTGTGGAACCTGAAACATAACCACGTGTTTTCTTATATGATCATTTGTGTTGATACTGCTTTTATTTGAGTTTATGAACAGAAATAGAAAGTATGGTGCTTGGGTTTTGCCCTTTCTTACTCCTGAAAGTTAAATCAGAAGACACTGATTTCATTTTGTGAAATTTAGCTCAGAGACTATTGATCTTTTGTTTCATTAATATGAACAACTATTAGTAAAAAATAGCTTTAACAGCATTTCTGCTGATATCTAGTAATCTATTCTTTTAATGTGAAAATAAGATAAAATGTCCTGGAGCTAATTCTAGCTTAAATTTGCCAGTATTTCTGTATGTCATTAAGTTTTTTTCCTCTAAGGTTGGTAATAGAATTTTGTTAATCTTTGCATACCTGATGGCATCTATGTCAATGCTGATTGGGTAATTATAAATTCTGTGCTAATTTAAAACTTAATTTGCCTCTTAAGGTGATTGTCCTCTGAGTAATGATTGTAGTTAAATGAAGTATAGCTTGCAACTATACTATCACATGGGTCGTTAAGTAAAAATAAATAAACCAAATTTGTCTGAGACAGGCTAAGATCAATCTTCTCATCAAACCAATTTTTCTCTAAGAGCAATTTCACTTTCAGTTTTAGGGTGGACATTCTTGAATGCCTCAAATTAAACGTTATCTATTTAATCTTCCTGGAATAGTCTGTGACCAAAAAGGAGGGTGTGATATATTTAGGTGTAAATATATCACATATATGGTGTGATATATTTGGGATTTATATATTCAGCTCATTCTCTGTGAAGAAGTCTTCCTGACTAAAATTGGTTTCAAGATAAACTAATTTCTGTTAGTATTTCTACTCTGCCTACCATGTATGCCTTTTTGTTAGAAACTAATAAATGTATCAGTCACTAGCAGGTACTGGTCCTTTTTCCTCTCATTTTTGTGGAAAGGATATGCAAACACTGAATTTCTCAGGGAGTACTAAGGCTGTGCAGAGGCTGAGAATCTGAAAAATAAAATACTAAAAATAAAAATGGATTATTATGTGTATTTTACCACAACTTAAAAATATGTAAAAATCAGCTACATGAAAATTAAAAGTTCTGCATAACAAAAACTACCATCAAGGGAAATTGGAAGCTGTGGCAAACTTGGGAAGAAATAGTTGCAGTTCATCACAAAGAGCTAATTTCCTTTATGTAAAGTATCCTCCAGTTCATTAAGAAAAGACCAATAACTCGGCCGTGCATGGTGGCTCACACCTGTAATCCCAGCACTTTGGGAGGCCGAGGCAGGCAGATCACCTGAAGTCAGGAGTTTGAAACCAGCCTGGCCAACATGGGGAAACGCCGTCTCTACTAAAAATACAAAAATTAGCCGGGTGTGGTGGCGTGTGCCTGTAATCCCAACTATTCGGGAGGCTGAGACAGAGAATTGCTTGAACCCAGGAGGCGGAAGTTGCAGTGAGCCAAGATTGTGCCACTGCACTCCAGCCTGGGTGACAGACTGGAGACTCCGTCTCAAAAAAAAAAAAAAAAGAAAAAAAAGAAAAGTCCTCAATAGGAGAACTAGAAATGCGTATGTTCCCAAGAAACATCATTCACAAGAAAGTAACTATAACCGGTTCTGAACTATTAGGTGAAGAGATGCATAATCTTATGCTAATACTCATAAGTTTGTTCATCCTTCAGATTAGCAAAGATAAGGGAATTTTTTGTTTTGTTTTAATCTTGGCAAGACTGCGAGGAACTAGGCATTCTTATACATTGCTTGGTATGAATAGATAATTGAAAATCTCTGGAGGTACGTTTGACTATTCTAGGAATTTCTTAAGGCTGTCTTCACATGTATGCAGAATGACATGTAGGAGAAATTTTTGGCTGGGTGTGCTTGCTCACGCCTGTCTCAAAATAAAAATAAGCCGGGCATGGTGACATGTGCCTCAAAAAAACAAAAACAAAAAAGGTCGGGGGGTCAGGCACGGTGGCTCATGCCTTGTAATCCCAACAACTTTGGGAGGCCGAGGCAGGTGGATCACCTGAGGTCAGGAGTTTGAAACCAGCCTGGCCAACGTGGAGAAATCCCATCTCTATTAAAAATACAAAAATTAGGCGGGTGCCTGTAGTCCCAGCTACTCGGGAGGCTGAGGCACAAAAATCACTTGAACCCAGGAGGTGGAGGTTGCAGTGAGCCGAGAGATCACGCCATTGCACCCCAGACTGGACAACAGAGCAAGACTCCATCTCAAAAAAAAGGTCTTTATAGGAAGTCTGTGATGTTGTTTTTCATAACTCCAACCCGCCCCCAAAATCAGGGTGAATACCCAGAAAACACCTTGAGAAGGGAGTATGTGGCTGGACTCAGTGGCTCACACCTGTAATCCTAACACTGCACTGCGAGGCTGAGGTGGGCAGATCACTTGAGGTGAGGAATTTGAGACCAGCCTGGCCAACGTGGTGAAACCCCGTCTCTACTAAAAATACAAAAAAAAAATCAGCCAAGCGTGGTGCCAGGCCTGTAGTCCCAGCTGCTGGGGAGGCTCAGGCCGGAGAATCGCTTGAACCCAGGAGGCGGAGGTTGCAGTGAGCCGAGATCGCTCCACTGCACTCCAGCCTGGGCGACAGGGCAAGACTGCGTCTCAAAAAAAAAAAAAAAACTTAAAATGTTCTTAAAATATTGCAAGATAAAGGAAGCTTATAAATCTCAGTCTGCACCACTGTAGATGGCCCTTTTCTGCCTTTTAAGTTTTAAAAATTATAATTCAGGAAAGCTTTTTCAGCATTAAGAGAAAAAAGGGGCTGGGCATGGTGGCTCAGGACTGTAATCCCAGCACTTTGGGAGGCTGAGGCAGGCAGATCGCTTGAGCCCAAGAGTTCGAGACCAGCCTGGGCAACATGGTGAAACCCCATCTCTACAGAAAGTAGGAAAATTAACCAGTTGTGGGGGTGCACGCCTGTGGTCCCAGCTGCTCAAGAGGCTGAGGTGGGAGGGTCGCCTGAGTCCCAGAGGTCAGGGCTTCAGTGAACCAAGATTGCACCACTGCGCTCCAGCCTAGGTGATAGAGTGAGACCCTGTCTCGAAAAAGATTTTATTTGTTTTAGTTTTTGTTTGTTTGTTTTGTTTTTTGAGACAGTGTGTCGCTCTGTCTCTCTGGCCGCCCCCAAAATTTTGAAAGCAAAATGTAGGGCCGGGCGCGGTGGCTCACGCCTGTAATCTCAGTACTTTGGGAGGCCGAGGCAGGTGGATCACCTGAGGTCAGGAGCTTGAGACCAGCCTGGCCAACATGGTGAAACTCCATCTCTACTAAAAATACAAAAAAATTAGCTGGGCATGGTGGCGGGCGCCTGTAATCCCAGCTACTCAGGAGGCTGAGGCAGGACAATTGCTTGAACCCAGGAGGTGGAGGTTGCAGTGTGCCCAGATCGCGCCACTGCACTCCAGACTGGGCGACAGAGCAAGACTCTGTCTCAAAAAAAAAAAAAAAAAAGTAGCCGGGCGCGGTGGCTCATGCCTGTAATCCCAACACTTTGGGAGGCCGAGGCGGGCGGATCACGAGGTCAAGAGATCGAGACCATCCTGGCCAACATGGTGAAACCCCATCTCTACTAAAAATACAAAAATTAGCTGGGCATGGTGGCGGGTGCCTGTAGTCCCAGCTACTCAGGAGGCTGAGGCAGGAGAATCGCTTGAACCCAGGAGGCGGAGGTTGCAGTGAGCCGAGATCGCGCCACTGCACTCCAGCCTGGCAACAGAGCGAGACTCTGTCTCAAAAAAAAAAAAGTAAAAGAGGCCTGGTGTGGTGGCTTATGCCTGTAATCCCAGCACTTTGAGAGACTGAGGTGGACAAATTGCTAGAGCTCAGGAGTTCAAGACCAGCCTGAGCAACATGGTGAAACCCCCTTCTCTACCAAGTGTGGTGCACGCTTGTAGTCCCAGCTACATGGGAGGCTGAGGTGGAGGATCGCTTGAGCCTGAGAGGCGGAGGTTACAGTGAGCTGAGATTCTAAGATTGTACCACTGCACTCCAGCCTGGGTGACAGTGAGACCCTGTCTCAAAAAAAAAAAAAAAAGGAAGGGGAAAGAGAAAGAAAAAAAAAAGGAAGGAAAAAGAAAGGAAAATAGCATTGTGAGGAATTTTTGACTTACTTAGCTTTAGTGAACTATTTTTAAAATATTTGAAAAACAAAACTTACGCTTTTCAGATTGGATTGCAGGACATTTACAATCCTGTGAACAATGGGAGAAGCCAGATAAAAATATAAAATTACTTAAAAGCATTAGTGAGCTACTGAAACAATGAGGGCCAAAGGGGCTAAGATTCTGGAGAGGGGAGACCTAAAAGGCAAACTGATGTTTGCAACCACTTTTTTCCCTGCTAGTCTGAGCTAGTTTGTAAGATAAGGCTGGGCGACGTGGCTCATGCCTTTAATACCAGCACTTTGGGAGGCTGAGGCAGGATGATCACTTGAGTCCAGGAGTTAGTTAAAGACCAACCTGGGCAATACAATGAGAATCCAACTCTACATAAAATTTCAAAATTAGCCAGGTGTGGTGGTGCGTGCCTGGAGTTCCAGCTACTTGGAAGGCTGAGGTGGGAGGATTGCTCAAGCCCAGGGGTTTGAAACCACCTTGGGCAACATAGTGAGACCTTGTCTCTACAGAAAGAAAAGAAAAAAAAAATTAGCTGGGCATGGTGGCTTCAGCCTGTAGTCCCAGCCACTTGGGAGGCTGAAGCAGGAGGATCACTTGAGCCTGGGAGGTCAAGGCTGCACTTCAGCTTGGGCAACAGAGTGTGAGAGTATCTAAAAAAAAAAAAAAAAAACCAAAAAGGAAATTGAACTATAGGATCCATAACTTTTTTTTTTTTTTTTGAGAGACAGAGTCTTACTCTGTTCCCCAGGCTGGAGCGCAGTGGTGCGATCATAGCTCACTGTGACCTCCAACTCCTGGACTCCAGCAGTCCTTCTGCCTCAGCCTCCCAAGTGGAAAGGTTGCTAGGACTACAGGAACATGCCACAACACCCTGCTAATTCAAACAATTTGTTTTGGTAGAGATGGGGGTCTCACTGTGTTGCCCAGGCTGGTCTTGAACTCCTGGCTGCAAGCAATCCTCCCGCCTCGGCCTCCCAAAGCTTTGGGATGACAGGTATGAGTCACCACACCTGGCAGGCCCAGTAACTGACATGAGTTTGAGAATCAAAACAGAGTCATGTCGTGCAGGAGGGAAAAAATAAAATAATTTTCTTTTTAACTCGGTCTCTACTTGTGTGACCTTGCGGGAACTAGTTAGCTTTCATTACCTCACTTTTAAATTTGTAATGAGGCTGGGGTGGTGGCTCACACCTGTAATCCCAGAACACTGGGAGGCCGAGGCGGGTGGATCACCTGAGGTCGAGTTCGAGACCAGCCTGACCAACATGCTGAAACCCTGTCTTTACTAAAAATACAAATACTAGCTGGGTGTGGTGGTGCACGCCTGTAATCCCAGCTACTCAGGAGGCTGAGGCAGGAGAATCACTTGAACCTGGGAGGCAGAAGTTGCAAAAGCAGAGATGGCACCACTGCTCCAGCCCGGGCGGCAGAGCGAGAGTCTGTCTTTAAAAGAAAAAAGAAAAAGATTGTAATGAATATCATAATGTAACCACCAGAGTGGCTATGGTAAGTAATATGTGTAGAGCAGCTGGCATGGCCCCTGAGAAAAATAATCCTTAATAAGTGACAGTTCCTTCCTTCTGGCTCTTCTCCACCCCCACTGCTCTGCCAGCCCCACTTTTTTCTTGGAAGAGTCTCACTTATTGGAGTCATCCAGTGACTTTGTGCTGCCGTAAGTCCCCAGATACGGCATCCAGTAGATTGCACTGATCTGTCTTCTGATGAAGCCTCCTCTTACCTCTTCTCTGCCAGATGTATCCTGGGTCACAAAAGACCTTGGCTCCAGAAGAAACTGATTCTCAGAAATACCTTGTGACTTACTCAAGTTCTCATACTAGCTCTGCGTATGTGGTGTGGATAAAAATTTGGAAAACAGACACTAAAAACTTGGAGGTATTAAAAAGGCAGGATCATGCAGGTGCAAAGTAATCCTACCTGTAATCACAACACTATGGGAGGCCGAGCTGGGAGGATTGCCTAAGCCCAGGAATTCGAGACCAGCTTGGGCAACATGTCAAAACCCCATCTCTATTATATTAAAAAATTTAGTTATTTTTTAAAGACACAATCCATTTGGAAGGACATACAAGAAAAATAAGAC
Source organism: Homo sapiens (assembly GCF_000001405.40). Lineage (NCBI taxonomy): Eukaryota > Metazoa > Chordata > Mammalia > Primates > Hominidae > Homo > Homo sapiens. Next base: position 196,463,563 of record NC_000003.12, on the reverse strand, counting down.
TGCAGAGTTCAGCCTGTATTGTAGGAGAGTTGAGTCTGTAATGTAGGAGAGTTGAGTCTGTACTGTGGGAGAGTTGAGTCTGTACTGTGGGAGAGTTGAGTCTGTACTGTGGGAGAGTTGAGTCTGTACTGTGGGAGAGTTGAGTCTGTACTGTGGGAGAGTTGAGTCTGTACTGTGGGAGAGTTGAGTCTGTATTGTGAGAGTTGAGTCTGTACTGTGGGAGAGTTGAGTCTGTACTGTGGGAGAGTTGAGTCTGTACTGTGGGAGAGTTGAGTCTGTATTGTGAGAGTTGAGTCTGTACTGTGGGAGAGTTGAGTCTGTACTGTGGGAGAGTTGAGTCTGTACTGTGGGAGAGTTGAGTCTGTACTGTGAGAGAGTTGAGTCTGTATTGTGGGAGAGTTGGGTCTGTACTGTGGGAGAGTTGAGTCTGTACTGTGGGAGAGTTAAGTCTGTATTGTGGGAGAGTTGAGTCTGTATTGTGGGAGAGTTGAGTCTGTATTGTGGGAGAGTTGAGTCTGTACTGTGGGAGAGTTGAGTCTGTATTGTGGGAGAGTTGAGTCTGTATTGTGGGAGAGTTGAGTCTATTGTGGGAGAGTTGAGTCTGTATTGTGCGAGAGTTGAGTCTGTATTGTAGGAGAGTTGAGTCTGTATTGTGGGAGACTTGAGTCTGTATTGTGAGAGTTGAGCCTATTGTGGGAGAGTTGAGTCTACTGTAGGGGAGTTGAGTCTCCATTGTGGGAGAGTTGAGTGTATTGTAGGAGAGTTGAGTCTGTATTTTGGGGGAGTTGAGTCTGTATTGTGGGGGAGTTGAGTCTATTGTGGGAGAGTTGAGTCTATATTGTAGGGGAGTTGAGTCTGTATTGTAGGGGAGTTGAGTCTGTATTGTGGGGGAGTTGAGTCTGTATTGTGGGGGAGTTGAGTCTATATTGTAGGGGAGTTGAGTCTGTATTGTAGGGGAGTTGAGTCTGTATTGTGGGGGAGTTGAGTCTGTATTGTGGGAGAGTTGAGTCTGTATTGTGCGAGTTGAGTCTGCATTGTGGGAGAGTTCAGTCTGTATTGTGGGATAGTTGAGTCTGTATTTTGGGATAATTGAGTCTGTATTGTGGGATAGGTGAGTCTGTATTGCAGGGGAGTTGAGTCTGTATTGTGGGAGAATTGAGTCTGTATTGTGGGAGAGTTGAGTCTGTATTGTGGGAGAGTTGAGTCTGTATTGTAGGGGAGTTGAGTCTGTATTGTAGGGGAGTTGAGTCTGTATTGTAGGGGAGTTGAGTCTGTATTGTAGGGGAGTTGAGTCTGTATTGTAGGGGAGTTGAGTCTGTATTGTGGGGGAGTTGAGTCTGTATTGTAGGGGAGTTGAGTCTGTATTGTAGGGGAGTTGAGTCTGTATTGTAGGGGAGTTGAGTCTGTATTGTGGGAGAGTTGAGTGTATTGTGCGAGAGTTGAGTCTACTGTGGGATAGTTGAGTCTGTACAGTGGGATAGTTGAGTCTGTATTGGGAGAGTTGAGTCTGTATTGTGGGAGAGTTGAGTCTGTATTGTGGGAGAGTTGAGTCTGTATTGTAGGGGAGTTGAGTCTGTATTGTAGGGGAGTTGAGTCTGTATTGTAGGGGAGTTGAGTCTGTATTGTAGGGGAGTTGAGTCTGTATTGTGGGAGAGTTGAGTCTGTATTGTGGGAGAGTTGAGTGTGTATTGTAGGGGAGTTGAGTCTGTATTGTAGGGGAGTTGAGTCTGTATTGTAGGGCAGTTGAGTCTATTGTGGGAGAGTTGAGTCTGTATTGTAGGGGAGTTGAGTCTATTGTGGGAGAGTTGAGTCTGTATTGTAGGGGAGTTGAGTCTGTATTGTAGGGCAATTGAGTCTATTGTGGGAGAGTTGAGTCTGTATTATAGGGAAGTTGAGTCTGTATTGTAGGGGAGTTGAGTCTGTATTGTGGGAGAGTTGAGTGTGTATTGTAGGCGAGTTGAGTCTGTATTGTAGGGGAGTTGAGTCTGTATTGTAGGGCAGTTGAGTCTATTGTGGGAGAGTTGAGTCTGTATTGTAGGGGAGTTGAGTCTATTGTGGGAGAGTTGAGTCTGTATTATAGGGAAGTTGAGTCTGTATTGTAGGGGAGTTGAGTCTGTATTGTAGGGGAGTTGAGTCTGTATTGTGGGAGAGTTGAGCGTGTATTGAGGAGAGTTGTATTTTATTTTTACCCATTTCTTCTTCCTGTGTAAAAGTTATAATAAATAATCATAACTTTAAATTTTGAGTCTGATTTTTTTCTGGAATATTTTGCCTGGTTTTGGCAGGATTTGTAACATGGACCCTGAGTTCAATGTGAGTTGGGGGCGACCTTGACTTTTGTGGTGTCAGGCTGCTACAGTTAGGCTTCATCCCTAAAGCTTGAATTCAGAAGTCTCTCTCGGGGAGGGATCATAAATTGAGTCTGTCTGTCCATACTTTCTTTTTTTTCATTTCTTTTTCTTTTTTCTTTTTTTTTTCAGACAGACTCTTGCTCTGTCTCCCAGACTCGAGTGCAGTGGCGCCATCTCGGCTCACTGCAACCTCCACCTCCCGGGTTCAAGTGATTTTCCTGCCTCAGCCTCCAGAGTAGCTGGGACTACGGGCATGCGTGACCATGCCCGGCTAATGTTTGTATTTTTAATAGAGATCGGGTTTCACCATCTTGGCCAGGCTGGTCTTGAACACCTGACCTCAGGTGATCCACCTGCCTCAGCCTCCCAAAGTGCTGGGATTACAGGTGTGAGCCACTGCACCCGGCCCCTGTCCATACTTTCCATCATTGCCCTCCAAGTCTTAAGGCTCATGAAACGTTCAGTTGTCTCTTTTCACCTCAGGTTAGACTGACTCACTGTGGACTTCCTGAGTTGCAGGATGAGGAGGAGAGCTCATGCTGGTTATGACTGGGGCATTGATCAGGGTCTAGTTGAGAAAACAAATCACAATAAGGATTTCAGCAGAGGGTATTCAGTAGAGGGAATTGGTTACACAGGTTTTGGAGCAAAAGGGAACACTGAGATCACCTAAGGATGATAAGCGGAGGAAGCGGCTGCTGAGAAACTGAAGGGAAGGGTTTCAATCACTAGAATGTAGGAGTTGAGGGCTGGGGTAGGTGGACCCCGCAGACCCTGCAGAAGTGTGCAGATCTCTGAGGAGGAAATACCTCCCAGCTGCTGCTGCTACCTCTGAAATGTCCCAGTGAGTCTACTTCTAGAAGAGCTGGAATAATTTGGAGGCTGGAGTCAACTGGCACTGCTGGGCAACATGGACAAGAGGAACAAAGAAGAAAGAAGCCTCCTTGGCCAGGCGCAGTGGCTCACGCCTGTAATCCCAGCACTTTGGGAGGCCGAGGGGGGCAGATCACTAGGTCAGGAGTTCAAGACCAGCCTGGCCAACATGGTGAAACCCCGTCTCTACTAAAAATACAATAAATTAGCCAGTGTGGTGGCACACGCCTGTAGTCCCAGCTATTCAGGAGACTGAGGCAGGAGAATCGCTTGAACCTGGGAGACGGAGGTCACAGTGAGCCGAGACCATGCCACTGCACTCCAGCCTGGGTGATGCAACAGGACTCCGTCTCAAAAAAAAAAAAAAAAAAAAAGTAGCCCCCTTTTCCTTTCCTCCTTCCTAGAACCGCTTATTGATAGAACTTTACAAGAAGCCAACTGGCAAAGGAGTCTGGGCAAATGGTTTTTATATCAGCAGAGTTTAGAATGGCAGGCTTGACGCTGCAAGACAAGAGGGGGAAAGAAAACACACCAGAGATGTTTTCCTTTAATAGATTCTGGACTAAGGTGTCTTGAAACGTCTAAGGCAAAAACCTATAACGCTCCTATCTAGACAAGATGGGTGTTAGTATGTGTGGAAAAATGATGCTTATCCACAAATTCCCAGGAGAAGTTAAGCCTCATGAAGGATCTATAGGAGAAAACTGGAGAACCTTTATTTTCATTTATTTTATGTTTTTGAGATGGAGTCTTGCTTTGTCACCCAGGCTGGAGTGCAGTGGCATGATCTCGGCTCACTGCAACCTCTGCCTCCCAGGTTCAAGTGACTCTCCTGCCTCAGCCTCCTGAGTAGCTGGAACTACAGGCGCTCACCACCATGCCCAGCTAATTTTTGTATTTTTAGTAGAGACGGGGTTCCACCATGTTGGCCAGGCTGGTCTCGAACTCCTGACCTCAAGTGATCCACCCGCCTCGGCCTCCCAAAGTGCTGGGATTACCAGCATGAGCCACCGTGCCCGGCCACCTAGAGAACCTTTAAGTACCTGCAGAAAGCACTTCCAATTCTTTAGTTTTTGTTGTTGTTGTTGTTCTGATTATGTCCAGAGCTGATGATTCAGAGAATAAGATTGTGTCTGCCATCCCCATACACAAACGGGTGGTCACCTAAAGCTACCATTGTCCCATTTTCCTATGCCCCTACAAGCCCTACAAATCCCACAATTCCTCACCTACCAGGTGAACCCTCTTTGAAATTTCCTCCATAGGAAATTAAGCCATCAGACATCATCACTAAATTCCCAGAGCTCCTAGAAGGATACAATCCAGAAATAATAGAACACCAGGATAAGATTTGATCTTTTTTTTTTTCCCAGGCTGGAGTGCAGCGGTACAATCTCGGCTCACTGTAACCTCTGCCTCCTAGGTTCAAGCGATTCTCCTGCCTCAGCCTCCAGAGTAGCTGGGATTACAGGCGCGTGCCACCACGCCTGGCTAATTTTTGTATTTTTAGTAAACATGGGATTTCATCATATTGGCCAGGCTGGTCTTGAACTCCTTACCTCAGGTGATCCACCCACCTCAGCTTCCCAAACTGCTGGGATTACAGGCGTGAGCCACTGTGCCCAGCCTGATCTGTCTATTAAAAGGAGGGCATTTGCCAGGCACAGTGTCTCACGCCTGTAATCCCAGCACTTTGGGAGGCCGAGGTGGGCAGATCATGAGGTCAAGAGATCGAGACCATCCTGGCCAACATGGTGAAACCCCGTCTCTACTAAAAATACAAAAATTAGCCAGGCATGATGGCAGGTGCCTGTAGTCCCAGCTACTTGGGAGGCTGAGGCAGGAGAATCGCCTGAACCTGGGAGGTGGAGGTTGCAGTGAACCGAGATCACACCATTGCACTCCAGTCTGGGCGACACAGCAAGACTCCATCTCAAAAAAAAAAAAAAAAAAAAAAAGGAGGGCATTGGAATTAATTAAAAATAGATCATAATGAAGTAACTCTCCAGAGTAAACCTACATTACAACAAATCAAGAGAGGGGAGTTGTGTAACAATCCTAGCAAGAGGCACTGACATGATATTAAATCAACTTGGTTTTAACATGTGAGAGAACCTTTCCACCCACAAAGAGCTCGAGGTGCTGTAATTTGTACAACACTATTATCAGTTTATTGACTTGAAAACGGTGCTTAAAAATCTCAGAATCTCAAGAATAACTTCTGGAAAAGCATCTTATAAACAAAAAAAAAATGAATTGATTCCTTCTACTGGCAAATGCTTAGAAAACATTTTAAATCTTTTATTTGGATAAAGCTAAAAATACATGAATTTAGCTAGTTTGATTTTAGAAGACTTTAACTTTTTAAACTAATAGTACTTTTTATTTGTTTTTTACTTGCCAAGCATTGGGCGCAAACCAGTAGTACTTTTTAAAGCATGATCTTAAAAACAAATTTTCCTTTGGGGCTGAGAAGAATAGGTCACAGTCTGAAAAAAAGATGAGGGCTAATTATCTCAGACTTAGGTCTTTAGAGGAGGAAGTGGCAATTTTAATGTTATGTAATAGCAAAAACCCTAAGTTTCTAAGGCAACCAAAAAGGTTCTGAACTAACCACTGCTCTTTTCTTTGGCTTTAAAAAATCATTCGTGGCCAGGCCCGGTGGCTCACGGCTGTAATTGCAGCACTTTGGGAGGCTGAGGCAGGCAGATCACCTGAGGTCAGGAGTTCGAGGCCAGCCTGGCCAACATGGAGAAACCCTGTCTCTACTAAAAATACATTAGCTGGGTATGGTGGTGCACACCTGTAATCCTAGCTATTCGGGAGGCTGAGGCAGGAGAATCGCTTGAACCCGGGAGGCAGAGGTTGCAGTGAGCTGAGATTGTACCACTGCATTCCAGCCTGGGCAACAGACCAAAACCTCTGTTTCAAAAAAAAAAAAAAAAAAAAAAGAGAAAACATTTATTATGAATGGGGTTGAGGTTAGGTTTTTGTCCCCCAGTGTTCTGAGCCATTTGTAATTATTTGAGTTATTTTCCTATTTTTCTATTGGTTTGTTGGTCGTTTTCTTCTCAATTTCTAGGGGCTTTTTTTTTTTTTTTTTTTTTTTAACAGGATGTTGCTGTTTCCCAGGCTGGAGTGCAGTGGCGTGATCATAGCTCGCTACAGCCTTGATCCCCTGGGCTCAAGCGATCCTTCTACATCAGCCTCCCTATTAGCTGGGACTACATGAGTGAGCAACAATAACTGGCTGAATTTTTTTTTTGGCAGGGTGGGTGGTAGAGACAGGGTCTCACTATGTTGCCCAGACTCTTCTCCAACTCCTTGCCTCAAGCAGTCCTACCACGTTGGCCTCCCAAAGTGCTGGGATTGTGAGGGTGGGCCACTGCCCCCAACCTTAGGTGGTCTTTGTATATTAGGAAGATTGACCCTTTCTATATAATGAGTTACAGAAACATTTCCAAATGCAAATCAGAGTTCCCACACTCCTAGGAAAAGATAGATTGTTCTATAGCTGTGCCAACAAGTAACCACTAGAACAGTTTATAAATCTATCACATCAGTCAGGGACAACTTGGTTCATTGAATACACCCCTGAAAACCAACAGTCATTGACAGCCTCATATTTTGAAAGTCAGCTCATGGCCGGGTGCAGTGGCTCTCGCCTGTAATCCCAGCACTTTGGGAGGCCCAGGTGGGCGGATCACCTGAGGTTGGGAGTTCAAGACCAGCCTGACCAACAGGGAGAAACCCCATCTCTACTAAAAATACAAAATTAGCCAAGTGTGGAGGCACCTGCCTGTGATCCCAGCTACTTGGGAGGCTGAGGCAGGAGAATCACTTGAACCCGGGAGGTGGAGGTTGCAGTGAGCCAAGATCACACCATTGCACTCCACCCCAGCCTGGGCAACAAGAGTGAAACTCTGTCTCAAAAAAAAAAAAAAAAAGAAAGTAAGTCAGCTCATATCAGTGATTTCATACCAGAAAATGCAGTTCTTTTTTTTTTTTTTTTTTTTTTTTTTTGAGATGGAGTCTCACTCTGTCACCCAAGCTGGAGTGCAGCGGCACGATCTCGGCTCACTGCAACCTCTTCCTCCCGGGTTCAAGTGATTCTCCTGCCTCAGCCTCCCAAGTAGCTGGGACTACAGGTATGTGCCACCATGCCCAGCTAATTTTTGTATTTTTAGTAGAGATGGGGTTTCTCCATGTTGGCCAGTCTGGTCTCAAAACTCCTGACCTCAGGTGATCTGCCTGCCTCGGCCTCCCAAAGTGCTGGGATTACAGGCGTGAGCCACCGCGCCCAGCCGTCAAAGGAGTTCTTGCTTGACAGCACTAGCTTTCCTAGTCTTCATTGAGAGTAAGCAGGACAGTGGCTAATGAGATTTGCAGAGAGAGACAGTAGAGACACTTCTTTCGATTCCTCTGGTTTACCTTTTTCTTATGGCAGCCACTGCTACAGCAACCAGTTCTTTCTTCTAGTTTTTTTAGAGAAAAGGTATCCCTCTGTTGCCCAGGCTGGAGTGCCGTGACGTGATCTCGTCTGACTGCAACCTCAAACTCCTGGGTCAAATGATCCTCCCACCTCAGCCTCCTAAGTGGCTGAGACCACAGCCATGCACTACCATGCCCAGCTAATTAAAAAAAAAAAAAATGGTAGAGACAAGATCTCCCTATATTGGTCGGGCGCGGTGGCTCTTGCCTGTAATCCCAGCACTTTGGGAGGCCAAGGCAGGTGGATTGGCTGAGCTCAGTTCAAAACCACCCTGGGCAACATGATGAAACCCCATCTTTACTAAAATACAAAAAAATTAGCCGGGTGTGGCAGCAAGAGCCTGTAATCCCAGCTACTCAGGAGGTGGAAGTGGGAGAATCACTTAAGCCTGGGAGGCAGAGGTTGTAGTGAGCCGAGATCACGCTACTGCACTCCAGCCTGGGCAACAGAGTGAGACTCTGTCTCAAAAAAAAAAAAAAAAATCTCCCTATATTGCTCAGGGTGATCTCAAACTCCTGGGCTCAAGCAGTCCTCCTGCCTCAGCCTCCCAAAGTGCTGGGATTACAGGCGGGAGCCACTGGGCCCGGCCTATAGTACCCAGTTGTCACTGGACTCTCAACAGCTTCTTGTGGTTGCCACCACATAGCACCTGACCTCAAGCCTGTGCCATGTGTCAGGGCTGGGATGATTTTACCCTACTCACAAGCTAATAAGTTAGCCTATTACTGCTTCATGAGTGTTGGCAGAAGACATCAAATTCCTGGTATGAGAAAAAGGACTTTATTACTCATGGCACAGCAAGCAGCAAGAATATCATGTTCGTGTCAGTTCTCCTTGCCAAGGAGATGAGAGCGCGGCAGTACTTAATAAAGGAAACTCGTTCTTGGATAGCTACAAGAATCTTTTGGGGAGGCATTTTGAAGGAAGCTGAGGTTCTGTGTGAGCAAATGAGGGGTGACCTGCCAGCAAAATTGTGGGTAAGTGCTGATGTGACCTTATTTGCACCCCTAGGCTGATAAGAACTGGAACATTCAAGTTACACTTTTAAAATGCCTGTAGGTATTGTACAATGAGATGGCAAGGACAGGATCCTAGAATCAGATAGACATGGATTCAAATTCTGCTTCTATTTTTTGTTTTGTTTTCTTTGTTTTTTGAGATGCAGTCTCGCTGTGTCACCCAGGCTGGAGTGCAATGGCACAATCTCAGCTCACTGCAACCTCCACCTCCCAGGTTCGAGCAATTCTCCTGCCTCAGCCTCCCGAGTATCTGGGATTACAGGCGTGAGCCACTGTGCCTGGCCAAATTCTGCTTCTAGCTGTGTAGCCCTAACCTCTCTCCTAAATTGTAAAATAGAATTTATTTCTCATAAAATTGTTGAAAAGATTCAGTGACATCGCATATATGTGATAGGATAAGTTTTTAAAATATTAACCAATATTTTACCCTATCCTTGGATTATGTGGTCCTTCTCTGATTTAGTCATCTGGGCCGTTCTCCATTTCTTCCTTCAGGAAAGGGTTCACCTGGGAGAAAAAGAAGTTAGTTTCATGCTTTTGCATTTCAAAAATCTACCTTTCAGAGAGAAACAGAACGAACTCAACACAAGAAAATAGATTTGTAAGTATACCTGATGTTGGCTGGGCGCGGTGGCTCACACCTGTAATCCCAGCACTGTGGGAGGCCAAGGTGGGTGGATCAGCTAAGGTCAGGAGTTCAAGACCAGTCTGACCAATATGGTGAAACTCTGTCTCGACTAAAAATACAAAAACTAGCCGGGCGTGGTAGCAGGCACCTGTAATCCCAGCTACTCAGCAAGCTGAGGCAAAAGGATCACTGAAACCCGGGAGGCAGAGGTTGCAGTGAGCCAAGATTGCACCACTGCACTCCAGCCTGGGTGACAGAGTGAGACTCCATCTCAAAAAAAAGAAGCATTGGCCAGGCGCAGTGGCTCACGCCTGTAATCCCAGCACTCTGGGAGGCCGAAGCAGGCGGATCACCAGGTCAGGAGGTCAAGACCAGCCTGGCCAACATGGTGAAACCCCATCTCTACTAAAAAATACAAAAATTAGCTGGGCATGGTGGTGCGCGGCTGTAATCCCAGCTACTTGGGAGGCTGAGGCAAGAGAATCTCTTGAATCCGGGAGGTGGAGGTTGCAGTGAGCCGAGATCGCACCACTGCAGTCCAGCCTAGGCGACAGAACAAGACTCTGTCTCAAAAAAAAAAAAAAAAAAAAAAGCAGCATTACAAGTTCAGCTGCAGTGTGAGCTCCTAGAGAATGAGACCTTGAGCCCCAGACCCCTGCAAGCTCCAAAACAACATAGCAAGGTGACAGCCTTAGACAAACTCCGAGTTCTCCTCGCCCCAACATTTCCTGAGGATAATGTTTTTAACTAAAAAATTAAGATATATAGTAGCTTTACAAAAGGAACAATTTATATTGTAACACAATCATTAAAAGGGAATGAAAATGAAGTAATAGCTTAATCTAAATTTGCCCATGAAATAAAAATACTGTTAAGAATAAATATACATCTACTTGGGAGGCTGAGGCAGGAGAATCACTTGAACCTGGGAGGTGAAGGTTGCAGTGAGCTGAGACCGCGCCACTGCACTCCAGCCTGGGCGACAGAGCAAGACTCTGGAAAAAAAAAGAAAAGAAAGAAAGAAATATACCTTATTAGTAATAATAATGTATAGTGACAGTTCGGCTGTAGTATCAGTGTAATTAGACTTACATCTTACGATTTGATATTTTCCCCTGGTTCACTCAGTCTTTTTCTGTTTTCTACAGGACGTTGACAGTAGTGATAGGAAAAGCCCGACAGGGCAAGACACAGAAATAGAAGATATGCCAGACCCCAGTTCTCTTGCTTACACACCCCTCGCTGCTCCACACCTGCCTCGCCCTTGGCAAGCATGAGATCCAGGCTGGTAGCATGAGCTGAGCACAGCCTGCCAGGCTGAGTGGGCAAAATGACCCCAGAGGGCCTGAGTAAAACTCGGGCAAAGGTGCCACCAGCCACAGAGTTTTCTGGCCAGAAAACCAACACTGCAGGGACCCTGCAACACTCCCTCCTCCGCCTCCCCAGGAGCTGGGACTACAGGGCTTGCCACCATGCCCAGCTGTTTTTTTTTCAGTAGAGATGAGGTCTCACTATATGTGCCCAGGCTGGTCTTGAACTCTTGGCCCCAAGTAATCCTCTCACCTCAGCCTCCCAGGCGTGAGCCACCGTGCCTGGTCGATAGTATTTTTAAACCACCATAGCCCTGAACTGCTTTGTAAGAGGGAGTTCCTGGGACCGGGCGTGGTGGCTCACGCCTGTAATCCCAGCACTTTGAGAGGCCAAGGCAGGCAGATCACGAGGTCAGGAGATCGAGACCATCCTGGCTAACACGGTGAAACCCCATCTCTACTAAAAATACAAAAAAATTAGCGGGGTGTGGTGGCGGGCGCCTGTAGTCCCAGCTACTTGGGAGGCTGAGACAGGAGAATCGCTTGAACCTGGGAGGAGGCAGAGGTTACAGTGAGCCAAGACTGCGCCACTGCACTCCAGCCTGGCGACAGAGTGAGGCTCCATCTCAAAAACAAAAAACAAAACAAAACAAAACAAAAACAGAGAAACAATCTTCAATCACTAAAGCCTCTGGTATTCAAATGTTCTGTTATTTGCAGCCAAAACCACTCCTAACTAATGCCATTGACATGGTAGCAGGTTAGGGGAAGGAGGAAGAAAGGAATCAATTGTCAGCTTTTGATTTTTTTTTAAGAGACAAGGTCTTCACTCTAGTTCTCTTCTGAAATAAATAAATGAAAATGTTTTTTATTAAAAAAAGAGAGACAAAGTCTTGCTCTCTTGTCTAGGCTGGAGTATGGTGGCGTGATCATAGTTTGCTGTAACCTCCAACTCCTGGGCTCAAGTGATCCTTCCACCTCAGCCTCCTGAGTAGCTAGGACTACGTGAGTGTACCACCCCACCTGGTCATTTTTTAAACTTTTTGGAGAGAGAAGGTCTCTTATGTTGTCCAGGCTAGTCTTGAACTCTTGGCCTCAAGGCATCCTCCTGCCTTGGCCTCCCGGAGTGATGAGATTAGAGGTGTGACCTGCAGCCACAGCCTTTGCTTTTTTTTTTTTTTTTTTTTTTTTTTTTTTTTTTTGGAGACAGGGTCTCCCTCTGTTACTGAGGCTGGAGATCATGGCTCACTGCAACCTCAGCCTCCCAAGGCTCAAGTGATCCTCCTGCCTCAGCCCCCGGAGTAGCTGGGACAACAGGTGCACACCACCATACTGGGCTAATTTTTGTGTTTTTAGTAGAAACGGGGTTTTGCCATGTTGGCCAGGCTGGTCTCAGACTCCTGAGTTCAGGTAATCCACTCACCTCAGCCTCCCAGGTGCAGGGATTACTGGTTTGAGCCACCATGCCTGGCCAGCTTTTGAATTTTAAAACCTGCAGATGGGTCAAACAAAACTTGACTATAGCCAGGTGTCATGTCTCATGTGTATCCCGGTGCTTTGGGAGGCTGAGGTGGGAGAATCTCTTGAGGCCAGGAGCTTGAGGCTGCAGTGAGCTATGATCATGCTACCGCACTCCAGTCCAGGTGACAGAGACCCTTGTCTCAAAAAAAAAAAAAAAAAGGCTATGGCCGATAGATTTGGTAGAATTGATGACAAGTAAACAGGCTACCACATCCTTAGACTACATAAGGATTCCCTGGTCTGGGAATAGTAACAGTTTTTTTTCATTGTTACTTTTCCTATGGTGCTGATGGGAATAATAAAAGTTAAATTGTTAAATTGTTAAACTGAGTTATAGAAAAATAAAATTATATTTCCTGTTACATGAGTTTGTGTATGAAGATACACACTTACAATATAGCAATTCTCATTTGACTGAAAATGTTATTCCTTTCTTACCTTTTGATGTCTTACTATTACAATTTTCCCTGCGTGTCCATGGGGAATTGGTTCCAGGAAGTCCCTTGGATATCAAAATTTGAGGATTAGCCAGGCATGGTGGCTCACGCTTGTAATCCCAGCACTTTGGGAAACTGAGGTGAGCGGATCACTTGACGTCAGGAGTTCGAGACCAGCCTGACCAACATGGTGAAAACCCATCTCTACTAAAAATCCAAAAAAAAAATTAGCTGGGGCTGGATGCGGTGGCTCACGTCTGTAATCCCAGCACTTTGGGAGGCCGAGGTAGGCAGATTACCTAAGGTCAGGAGTTTGAGACCAGCCTGGCCAACATGGTGAAACTCCATCTCTACTAAAAATACAAAAATTAGCTGGGCGTGGTGGCACGTGCCTATAATCCCAGCTACTCGGGAGGCTGAGGCAGAAGAATCGCTTGAACCTGGGAGGTGGAGGTCGCAGTGAGCTGAGATCGTGGCACCGCACTCCAGCCTGGGAAACAGGGCAAGACTCCATCTGAAAAAAAAAAAAAGTAGCCAGGCTTGGTGGCAGTCACCTATGATCCCAGCTACTTAGGAGGCTGAGGCAAGAGAATCGCTTGAACCCGGGAGGCAGAGGTTGCAGTGAGCAGAGATTGCGCCACGGCATTCCAGCCTGGGAGACAGAGTGAGACTGTCTTACAAAACACACACACACACACACACACACACACACACACACACACACACACACACACAAAATCTGAGGATATTCAATCCTGGGAGACAGTGAGAATCCATCTTACAAGACACACACACACACACACACCAAAATCTGAGGATGCTCAAACTCCTGATATAAAATGTGTAGTATTTGCATATAACCTACATACATCTTCCTGTATACTTTAAATCATGTCTAGGTTACTTAGGATACCTAATAACAACATAAATGGCCAGGTGTGGTGGCTCACACCCATAATCCCAGCACTTTCGGAGGCTGAGATAGGTGGATCACTTGAGGTTAGAAATTCAAGACCAGCCTGGGCAACCTGGCAAAACTTTGTCTCTACAAAAAATACAAAAATTAGACCAGGCGCAGTGGCTCACGCCTGTAATCCCAGCACTTTGGGAGGCCGAGATGGGCAGATCATCTGAGGTCAGGAGTTCGAGACCAGCCTGGCCAACATGGTGAAACCCCATCTCTACTAAAAATACAAAAATTAACTGAGTGTGGTGGCGCATGCCTTTAGTCCCAGCTACTCAGGAGGCTGAGGCAGGAGAGTTGCTTGAACCCAGGTGGAGGTTGCAGGGAGCCATGATCACACCACTGCACTTCAGCCTGGGCGACAGAATGAGACTCCGTCTCAAAAAAACAAAACAAAACAAAACAAAAAACACATAAATGCTATGCAATAGTTGTTATATTGTATTGTTTAGTGAACAATGACCAAAAACAAAACAAAACAAAAACTTATACGTGTCCAGTACAGATACAAACCAAAGTCGGTTGTTCTCTGAAAATTTGCTTTTCTTTCTGACCTTTGCTTTTCTTTCTTTTCTTGCTAGAAACCAACTTTTTTTCATTTTTTTGTTTTGTTTTGTTTCTTTTATTTATTTTTATTTTTATTTTTTTGAAACCATTTTTTAAACCTCCTCCCAGGCTGAAAACCTTGAAGTTGCCCTTCACTTTTTCCTCATCAGCTCCTCGGTCCCTCTGCTGTCATTTCTTGACTTCTCTACCTTTTAGCTGATCTGTGGGGGAAGGTATTTGGATAGACAATGAGAATAACTGAAAAGCTGGATATTGTTTTAAAACAAACAAATATACCTCTTAACGTCATCACAGAGGTGGCAAGATAGTAAGGAATGAGTGGGACAAATCAAATCTCAGAAAAGAAAAGGAAGTCCGGGCGCGGTGGCTCACACCTGGAATCCCAGCACTTTGGGAGGCCAAGGCGGGCGGATCACCTGAGGTCAGGAGTTTGAGACCAGCCTGGCCAACATGGTGAAACCCTGTCTCTACAAAAATTAGCCGGGCATGGTGGCTCACGTCTGTAATCCCAGCTACTAGGGAGGCTGAGGTGGAAGAATTGCTTGAACTCGGGAGGTGGAGGTTGCAGTAAGCTGAGATCATGCCATTGCACTCCAGCCTGGGCAACTGAGCAAGACTCCATCTCAAAAAAAAAAAAAAAAAAAAGAAAGAAAGAAAGAAAAGAAAAGGAAGTGGTGGCTGGGCACAGTGGCTCATGCCTGTAATCCCAGCACTTTGGGAGGCCGAGGCGGGCGGATCACCTGAGGTCAGGAGTTCGAGATCAACCTGGCCAACATGGTGAAACCCCGTCTCTACTAAAAATACAAAAAATTTAGCCGGGCGTGGTGGTGGGTGCCTGTAATCCCAGCTACTCTGGAGGCTGAGGCAGGAGAATTGCTTGAACTTGACAGGCGGAGGTTGCAGTGAGCCAAGAATGCACAGCATTGCACTCCAGCCTGGGCGACAAGAGTGAAACCCCAAGGGGCTGTGAAATAAAAAAGTCAAAGGCCAAGGCCACCAAAGGTGGGGAATTGCATTAGTTTGCTAGGGCTGCCATAATAAAATACCATAGACTGGGGGCTCAAATAACAGAAATGTATTTTCCCACAGTCCTAGAGGCTGGAAGTCCAAGATCAAGACTGGCAGGTCTGGCTTCATCCGAAGG
This sequence comes from Homo sapiens, assembly GCF_000001405.40. Taxonomy (NCBI): domain Eukaryota; kingdom Metazoa; phylum Chordata; class Mammalia; order Primates; family Hominidae; genus Homo; species Homo sapiens. The sequence continues at coordinate 196,448,257 of NC_000003.12, read as the reverse complement.
ACCCCGTGCTTGGCTTGCAGAGAGATGCCTTCTTGCTGTATGTTCCTGTGGTCTCTCCTCTGTGCGTGCTCCCTTGCCCCTGGTGTCTCTCTGTGTGTCCTAATTTCCTCTTCTTTTTTTTTTTTTTTGAGATGGAGTTTCCCTCTTGTTGACCAGGCTGGAGTGCAATGGTGTGATCTCAGCTCACTGCAACCTCCGCCTCCTGGGTTCAAGCGATTCTCCTGCCTCAGGCTCCCAAGTAGCTGGGATTACCAGGCACCCACTACCACGCCCAGCTAATTTTTGTATTTTTAGTAGAGACAGGTTTTCACCATGTTGGTCAGGATGGTCTTAATCTCCTGACCTCAGGTGATCTGCCCACCTTGGCCTTCCAAGGTGCTGGGATTACAGGCGTGAACCACCGTGCCCGGCCCATTTCCCTTCATATAAGGACACAGTCAGATTGGATCATGGCCCACCCTAAGGCTTCATTTTAACTTAATCCCCTCCTTAAAGGGATACAGTACCATTCTGAGGTACTGGGGAGTGAGAGCTTCAACACAGGAATCTGTTGGGAGGAAGGGGGCACACAGTTTATCTGCCAAAAGAGATCTAATAGGAAATGCTCCACAAAACACTAGGACCTCTCTGGTAACGAGAACCAGAAGTAAACAGCCCTTCTACTCCTTGCATTGTGAGGCTGCAAGCAAGGTTACCTTGGTGATGGGGGGTGAGGAGAGGGGGCTGTCCTGAGAAGCTGTAGCCCCTGGGCAGTTCTTACATGTTGATTTGCAGCCCAAATTCATATTGCGTGTGTGGTTCAGAAAGCTTCAAATGATGAGTTGAGTTAGTTGCTACTGGTGTGGTAGTGCCCATCAATGCCAGGCAGGAGCAAATGTAAATTCCCTCTGGAGAAATGTCCCATCTTAGACCTCAACAAATTCTTACACTTTTTTTTTTGAGTCTCGCATCTCGCTCTGTCACCCAGACTGGAACGCAGTGGTGCTTTTTTTTTTTCTTTTCCTAGGGTCTCACTGCCACCCAGGCTGGAGTGCGGTGATGCGGTCATAGTTCACTGCAGCCTCAAGTTCTTGGCCTCAAGCAATCCTCCCATCTCAGCCTGTCAAGTAGTTGGGACTACAGACATACACTACCACACCCAGCTGCCCGTCAAGTAGATGGGACTACAGACGTATGCTACCACACCCAGCTGATTTTATTTTATTTGTTTGTACAGACAGGGTTTTGCTATATTGTTCAGGCTGGGATTACAATTTCTTCACCCATGATAAACATATTTTATTTTATTATTTTATTTTATTTTATTTTTTTTGAAATGGAGTCTCACTCTGTCGCCCAGGCTGGAGTGCAGTGGCATGATCTCGGCTCACTGCAACCTCTGCCTCCTGGGTTCAAGCAATTCTCCTGCCTCAGCCTCCCAAGTAGCTGGAATTACAGGTATGCACCACCACACCTGGCTAATTTTTGTGTTTTTAGTAGAGCGAGGGTTTCACCATGTTGGCCAGGCTGGTCTCAATTTTCTGACGTCAGGTGATTTTCCCGCCTCAGCCTCCCAAAGTGCTGGGATTACAGGCATGAGCCACCTCACCTGGCCACATACTTATTATATAAATCAATGTCTGAAATTCCAGTATTGAACTATTTGCAAGTCTGTTCACTCTATCTGTTGTTCATACTGCTTCTAATACATGGTACTTGGATTTTGTGTGTGTACTTAGGCATTTTCTTTTTTACTCTGAGCTGCTTATTATTATTATTTTTTTTTACAAAATTATGTGGGCTGGGTGCGGTGGCTCAGCCTGTAATCCCAGCACTTTGGGAGGCCGAGGAGGGCAGATCACCTGAGGTCAGGAGTTTGAGACCAGCCTGACCAACATGGTGAAGCCCATCTCTACTAAAAATACAAAAATTAGCCAGGCGTGGTGGTGCATGCCTGTAATCTCAGCTACTCAGGAGGCTGAGGCAAGAGACTTGCTTGACCCCGGGAGGCGGAGGTTGCAGTGAGCCGAGATCTCACCATTGCACTCCAGTCTGGGTGACGGAGCGAGACTCTGTCTCAAAAAAAAAAAAAAAAAAAAAAAGTAGAAATTTTGATTGCCTGATGGATTCTTCCTGCCCACTGCACAGACAAAACCAGTTCACTGAGACCATGGTATTGCCATAAAAAAAGAGTTTAATTAATGTGACGCCAACCACATTTGAGACGGAGTTACTACTCAAATTAGTCTCTCCCAAGGCTTGAAGGTTAGGGTTTTTGCGGACAATTTGGTGGGCAAGGGGCTAGAAAATGAGTGCTGCTGATTGGTTGGATATAAAATTATAGGGGTGTGGCAGGGCATGGTGGCTCACGCCTGTAATCCCAGCACTTCGGGAGGCCAAGGCGGGCGGATCACCTGAGGTCAGGAGTTCGAGACCAGCCTGGCCAACATGGTGAAACCCGTCGCTACTAAAAATACAAAATTAGCCGAGCGTGGTGGCACATGCCTGTAATCCCAGCTGCTTGGGAGGCTGAGGCAGGAGAATCGCTTGAACCCGGGAGGCGGAGGTTGCAATAAGCCGAGATCATGCCATTGCACTCCAGCCTGGGTGACAAGAACGAAACTCCATCTCAAAAAAAAAAAAAAAAAAAGAGAGAGGGGTGTGGAAAACAGTCCATGTGTGCTGAGTTCACCTCTAGGTGGGGCCACAGTCATGAGTCCCAAGCCCAGGTGGTCAGTCCAAAGAAAAATCTCAAAAAAGTAATCGTAGGTTCTGCAATAGTGACAATATCTATAGAAGCAACTGGGGATGGAGAAACTACACCTGTTTTGTGGCTTCTGGCCACATGATTCCTGAGTAGAAAGGGATTATAGAAACTACACTTACAGGCTGGGCGTGGTGGCTCACGCCTGTAATCCTAGCACTTTGGGAGGTGGAGGCAGGTAGATTACCTGAGTTCAGGAGTTTGAGACCAGCCTGGCCAATACGGTGAAACTCTGTCTCTACTAAAAATACAAAAATTAGCTGGGCATGGTGGCAGGCGTCTGTAATCCCATCTGCTTCGGAGGCCGAGGCAGGAGAATTGCTTGAACCCGGGAGGCGGAGGTTGCGGTAAGTTGAGATTGCACCACTGCATTCCAGCCTGGGCAACAAGAGCAAAACTCAGTCTCAAAAAAGAAGAAAGAAAAGAAAAATAAACTACGCTTACATTTTAGCAGAGTTCAGGCCCCTCCCACAATCCTAATCTTGTGGCCTTTTATTGGTTCCACAAAGGCAGTTTTTGGTCCTTGAGCAAGGAGGGGATTAGTTTTAGGGAGGGACTGTTATCATCCTTGCTTTCAAGTTTAAGGGTAAATTAAATTTATTTCTTTTTAAACTTTTAAAAGTTATTATTATCATTATCATTGCTAGTGACACAGGGTCTCACTCTGTATAGCCCAGGCTGAGTGTAGTGGCTCAATCACAGCTCACTGCAGGCTGGACCTTCTGGGCTCAAGTGATCATGAAACTACCATTGCAAGACTATAACTGAGACAGTAAAAGAGATCTGACCTAACCGACTCCATCTTCCTTCCTTCCTTCCTTCCTTCCTTCCTTCCTTCCTTCCTTCCTTCCTTCCCTCGCTCCCTTCTTTCCTTCCTTCCTCCTTCCCTCCCTCCCTCTCTCCCTCCCTTTTTTCCTTCCTTCCTTTGTCAAAACTTTTCCAAGCTGTCCTTGTTCATTCCTGGGCCAAACTAACTTTGGGAGAAACTTAGTTTATAGTTTGAAACCAAAACAATAGCAGCCCTTTCCCAAAACAAACCCTCTTCTTGCATGGGGAGTAGACTGCTTCTGTAGGACTAACAAATTAGCCAAAAGATAGAAATTACAGTTTACGAGCCATGAAGCTGGAAGCTGTAAGATTGTGGGTTTTTTTTCATTTTCTTTTTCTTTTGTTTCCTGAGACGGAGTCTTGCTGTGTCACCCAGGCTGGAGTGCAGTAGTTTGATCTTGGTTCACTGCAACCTCCGAGGAGGCTGTAAGATTCTGACCCTCTCTGAATTTCTCCTGGAGATAACATCACTATTGTAAAACCTAAGATCAGCGCTTGGGATACTTTGCAGACTCTGCACTTGATGGATCAGCTGGCACCACCCAGATGGATAAACTGGCTCATCTGATCTTCTGGCCCCGACCCAGGAACTGACTCAGCACAAGAAGACAGCTCCCACTTCTTACATCTTCATCTCCGAACCAATCAATCAGCACTCCTGACTCACTGCCCCCCAACCCCCAACCCCCAACCAAATTATCCTAAAAATCTCTAAGTGCTAGGGGAAACTGATTTGAGTAGTAATAAATCTCCCGTCCCAGGCCGGGCGTGGTGGCTCACGCCTGTAATCCCAGCACTTTGGGAGGCCGAGGTGGGCGGATCTTGAGGTCAGGAGATCGAGACCATCCTGGCTAATATGGTGAAACCCCGTCTCTACCAAAAATATAAAAAATTAGCTGGGCGTGGTGGCGCTCGACTGTTATCCCAGTTACGAGGGCAGCCGAGGCAGGATAATCGCTTGAACTCTGGAGGCAGAGGTTGCAGTGAGCCGAGATTGTGTCCCTGCACTCCAGCCTGGGCAACAGAGTGAGACTCCGTCTCAAACAAAACAAAACAAAACACAATAAAACACAACACTCTGGTCTCCCATGCAGCCGGCTGTGAATCGCTGTTTCTTTGTTTAAATTTTCCTGTCTTGGTAAATCAGCTCTATCTAGGCAGTGGGCAAGGTGAACCTGCTGGGTGGTTAGAGTCCTCCCATCTAAGCCCTCCGAGCAAGCTGCCTGTGCCACCATGCCCAGCTAATTTTTAATTAATTAATTAATTAATTTTGTAGAGATAGAGTCTTGTTATGTTGCTGCTCTCAAACTCCTGGGTTTAAGTGATCCTTCCACCTCAGCCTCCCAAAGCGCTATTACAAGTATGAGCCACGGCACCTGGCCCTTGGGAGAAATTCAGTTGAGCTGTGGCTCATGCCCATAATTCCAGCACTTTGGGAGGCCGAGGCAGGAAGATTGCTTTTAATGACCAGGATTCAATCAAAGCTTTGCATCTTCCTGTAATGTCTTTACTCTCTTTTCATTCATAACAGTTCCCCTGTTTCCCTCTCTTGGCCAGGCTGGTCTCCAACTCCTGACCTCCAGTGATCCTCCCACCTTGGCCTCCCAAGGTGCTGGGATTACAGGTGTGAGCCACCGTGCCTGGCCTTTTAAATTAAATTAAATTAATTTTTTTTTTTTTTGAGACTGAGTCTTGGTCTGTGGCCCAGGCTGGAGTGCAGTGGCACGATCTTGGCTCACTGCAGCCTCTGCCTCCTGGGTTCAGGTGATTCTCCTGCCTCAGCCTCCCCAGTGGCTGGGATTACAGGCGCCTCCCTCCATGCCAGGCTAATTTTTGTATTTTTGGTAGTGATGGTGTTTCGCCGTGTTGGTCAGGCTGGTCTCGAACTCCTGACCTCAGGTGATCCGCTTGCCTCGGCCTCCCAAAGTGCTGGATGGACAGGCGTAAGCCACCGAGCCCGGCTGACGTTCACTTTTTGAAGAGACCAGGACAGTTATCTTATGAATGCCCATAGTCTAGATTTGCCTGAGTGCTTCCTCATGGCCTCCTTTAACTTGTATCTTGATCTTCCTATACTTTTTGTAGTCTGGAAATTAGGCCTAGAGGCTTGATTGGTACAGTTTTGCCAAGAATATGTCATAGGTGATACTGAACATTTCCTAACGCATCACATCAAAATTATCAGGTTGTCCCACTCATTAATGTTAAGTTGGATCACTTGGTTAAAGTGATGGTTGCCAGATATCTTCCCCAAATTGACATTTAAGAATCACAGGCCAGGCCAGGCATGGTGGCTCACGCCTGTAATCCCAGCACTTTGGGAGGCCGAGGTGGGTGGATCACCTGAGCTCAGGAGTTCAAGACCAGCCTGATTAACATGGAGAAACCCCATCTGTACTAAAAATACAAAAATTAGCCGGGAGTGGTGGCGCATGCCTGTAATCTCAGCTACTTGGGAGGCTGAGGCAGGAGAACATGCTTGAACCCGGGAGACGGAGGTTGCAGTGAGCCGAGATTGTGCCATTGCACTCAAGCCTGGGCGACACAGCGAGACTCCGTCTAAAAAAAAATAAAAATTAAATAAAAAATAAGGAATCACAGGACAGTTTTTCAGCTTCTTATAATGTCAAACATACACTCACAGCCTGATAGGATGGTTCACGCCTGTAATCCCAGCACTTTGGGAGGCTGAAGCGGGCAGATCACCTGAGGTTAGGACTTCAAGACCAGCCTGGCCAACATGGTGAAACCCCATCTCTACTAAAAATACAAAAATTAGCCAGGCATGGTGGTGGGTGACTCCAATCCCAGCTACTCGGGAGGCTGAGGCAGGAGAATCGCTTGAACCCGGGAAGCGGAGGTTGTGTGAGTCGAAATTGCACCACAGCACTCCAGCCTGGGCGACAGAGTGAGACTCCATCTCAAAAAAAAAAAAAAAAAAAAAAATACACTCACTATATGAGCCAGCAATTCCTCGTGTAGGTGTTTTTAGAAGAGAAATGAAAACTTATGTTCATACAGAAACTTGTACATGAGTTTATAGTAGCTTTATTCATAATTGCCCCTAACGAGATAACCCAAATGCCCTTCAACTGGGGAATGGATAGACAGACTGGGATGCATCCTTATGATGGACTGATACTCAGCAATGAAAAGGAAAAAGATACAGACGCAGACACCGCCATGAGGAACTTTAAATGCATTATGCTAAGTGTAAGAAGCCAGACTCGAAAGGCTACTGCATTCTGTTTGACTCCATTTACATAACATTCTAGAAATAGCAAAAATCGTAGGAACAGAAAACCCTAACCCTAAACCAAAATATCAATTTTTAAATTTAATAGTGAGAGATAGATGTTTTCAGTGACTGACAGACTCATTCAGTACTTTCCTAGTATCAAGAAATCTGGAAAAGTTAAGTGTCAATCAGAAAGATTCTAGGTAAAGGTGGAATCAGAACGAAGGGAAGTGTGGGAATGTTTCACGGTGCTCATAGTGAAGCTTCATGAATGGAGCAGATTTTGTTAATTGCCTAATTAACATTCATTCCCCTCCTTCTTTCTCCTTAAAAGCACCAAACTTTGGGGAGGTATCCACCTTCCTCCACAAAGCCATATGCTTTACTACACCAGTTATGTTTATCTCACATCCCTTGGCAGAGACTGGTTTAGGAACAGAATTGTGACTCAATTCAGACTCAATTCAGACGAATTTTGAAGGAATGTCTCTCCCAGGAGACTTCTAGGAAATGTGTCCTTTCTCACAGAAGAGATGAGCTGATGCTTCTTCCTTTGCATGTCACTGTACCTGAATGTGATGCTTCAGACTACTGCAGCTGTCTTGCTACCAGCCTAGAACAAAGCTCAGACAGTCCTGGGAAAGTCAAGAGAATCAGAGGCAGAGCTGGAGCCCTGTGGTACCCAACACAGGCCCTACCCTAGCTCACCTTGCTATTTAAGCTAGCTAAATTTCGTTTTCCCGACATAACATCCAATACCCTAAACAACTTAATGCCTGTCCCACAATATAATATGTCTTTTTGGTGGTAGCGATATTGGCCCACCTGAGAAGTGCTGAAAAATAACTGAAATATTTTTATTCTTTGAACTTTTTTTTAAAATACTAATTGCTATGCACATCACCTCCCCAAACTTTCTGTCAATTCATTTTGTCTGGGTTCAAATCCCAGTTTCACTTCTTACATTACAGATGTTTCTTTTTTTAATTTTTTTTTGAGACAGTCTCACTCCGTTGCCCAGGCTGGAGTGCAGCGGCGAGATCTCAGTTCACTGCAACCTCTGCCTCCCAGGTTCTAGTGATTCTCATGCCTCAGCCTCCTGAGTAGCTGGGACTACAGGTATGTGCTACCATGCCCAGCTAGTTTTTGCATTTTTGGTAGAGACGGGGTTTCACCATGTTGGCCAGGCTGCTCTCAAACTCTAGGCCTCAAGGGACCCGCCTGCCTCAGCCTTCCAAAGTGCTGTGATAACAGGAGTGAACCACTGTGCCTGGCCAACAGATGTTTCTAATTTTAATGAAGTCAACTTTATTAGTCATTGCCCTTATGGTTTCTGATTTCGTGTCTTCTTTATAAAATCTTCCCCTTCCTCAAGCTGGACTTTCATGATCCACAACTTCAAGGCTGTCCAGTTATGTTGTGTTGTGTGGATGGCATTTCCTGGGATGCAGAGTGGACGGCATCCCCTTTAAGTTGTGCAAAGCAGTTCTATTAGAAATCACTAGAATAAGCCCCTATATTTTCTTGTGAAAGTTGTCAAGTTTCAGCCAGGTGCAGTGGCTCATGCCTGTAATCCCGGCACTTTGGGAGGCCGAGGTGGGCGGGGATCACCTGAGGTTGGGAGTTCAAGACCAGTCTGGCCAACATGGAGAAACCTGTCTCTGCTAAAAATACAAAATTAGCCAGGCATAGTGGCGCGTGTCTGTAATCCCAGCTACTCAGGAAGCTGAGGCGGGAGAATCACTTGAACCCAGGAGGCGGAGGTTGTGGTGAGCTGAGACTGCGCCGCTGCACTCCAGCCTGGGCGACGAGAGCCAAATTCCGTCCCCTCAACCCCCCCACCAAAAAAAAGAAAGTTGTCAAGTTTTGTTATTCTCATTTAAATCTTTCAGAAATATATAATGTATTTTTGTATCCGATTTGGGATTGGAACCCTGGGTCACAGTGCATCCCTTCCTCCATTGGTTAGTCATGCCACTTCTGCCGCACTGTCTGTATATATTCGTGTCTGTTTGTGGACTCTCTATTCTGTACTGGATTTGTTCACTCCCTATCAATACCACACAGTGTGAGTAGTCTTAGTTACTACACCTTTATAATAATTTTTTTTTTGAGACAGAGTCTTGTTCCTGTCACCCAGGCTAGAGTACAGTGGCTCAGTCTCGGCTCATTACAACTTCTGTCCCCCGGGCTCAAGCGATTCTCCTGCCTCAGCCTCCCAAGGAGCTGGCATTACAGGCACGTGCCAACCGCCCGCCCCCCCCCACCCAAGCTAATTTTTGTATTTTTAGTAGAGACAGGGTTTCACCATGTTGGCTAGGCTGGTCTTGAGTTCCTGACCTCAAGAAGTCCGCCTGCCTTGGCCTCCCAAAGTGCTGGGATTACAGGTGTGAGCCACTGTGCCCGGCCTATAAAAATTCTTTTTTTTTTTTCCTTGTCTTGCGCTGTCGCCCAGGCTGGAGTACACTGGCGCGATCTCGGCTCATTGCAAGCTCCGCCTCCTGGGTTCAAGTGATTCTCCTGCCTCAGCCTCCCGAGTAGCTGGGACTACAGGCGGCCGCCAACGCGCCCGGCTAATTTTTTGTGTTTTTAGTAGAGACGGGGTTTCACCGTGTTAGCCAGGATGGTCTCGATCTCCTGACCTCGTGATCCACCCGCCTCGGCCTCCCAAAGTGCTGGGATCACAGGCGTGAGCCACCGCGCCCGGCCTAAAAATTCTTAATACAAGGTAGGGCAAGACTTCCACAAGTCCTTTTACTTCAAAAGTGTTTTGATTATTGTTGACTCTTTACTCGTGAATTTAAAAATAACCTTACACAAATGCTTAGAAACTCTGTGAGATTTTGATTGAAATTACATTGAATTGGCCGGGTGCAGTGGGTCACGCCTGTGATCCCAGCACTTTGGGAGGCCGAGGCGGGCGGATCACCAGGTCAGGAGATCGAGACCATCCTGGCCAACACGGTGAAACCCCGTCTCTACTAAAAATACAAAAAATTAGCCGGGCATTGTGAGGGGCGCCTGTAGTCCCAGCTACTCGGGAGGCTGAGGCAGGAGAATGGCCTGAACTCGGGAGGCGGAGCTTGCAGTGAGCCGAGATCACACCACTGCACTCCAGCCTGGGCGACAGAGCGAGATTCCATCTCAAGGAAAAAAAAAAGAAATTACATTGAATTTGCTGACTAATATATGGAAAACTGGCATCTTTATAATATTGAGTCTTTCCATACATGAATATAGATTTTTTTTTTTTTTTTTTTTTTTTTGAGATAGGGTCCCACTCCATCTCCCAGGCTGGAGTGCAGTGGTGCAGTCATGGCTCAACCTCCTGGACTCAAGTGATCCTCCCATCTTAGCCTCCCAGGTAGCTGGGACCACAGGCATGTGCCACCATGCCTGAATAATTAAAAAACAATTTCTTTTTTGTAGCAATGAGGTCTCACTATGTTGTCTGGGCTGCTCTCAAACACCTGGCTCCAGGCGATGCTTCCACTTAGGCCTCCCAAAGTGTTGGGATTATAGGCGTGAACCAAGGCGCCTGGCCCCTGAATATAGGTTTTTAATTTACTGCCTATTCTTGTCTCACTGCCATGGTTAGAACCTCTAGAATAATATTGAGTAGACGTAATAATAGAACGCATTATTGTTACTGACTTTAAATGTCTAATTATTAACTAGGATGCTGTTTACTCTGCATTTTTGGTAGATACATTTTATTAGATTAAGGAAGTTTCTTTATGTAGTTTGTTAAGGTTTTTAAAACATTTTGTGAATGGATGTGCATTTATATCAATGGTTTTCCTGTGTCTGATCAAATGAATCAAATAATTTCTCTTATTTAATTTGTTTTACTATGGTGAATTACATTGACAGAGGTGTTTTTTTTTTTTTTTTCTGGAGTTTCTGGTGTCCAGGCTGGAGTGTGCAGGGTGCAATTATAGCTCATTCAGCTTCAAACTCCTAGACAATTGGGCTCCAGTGGTCCTCCTACCTCAGCCTCCTAGGTAGCTGGGATTACAGGGGCGAGCAACTGTGCCATTTGTAAGAGCTTTTTACTGTAAAATTATGCTTGCATTCCTGAAGTAAACCCAATAAAAAAAATATGTACATGTATGTGTGAATATGTGGATTTCTAAATTCTGATTTAATTTAAGATATCTGTTTCAGTAGCCATGAGTGAGGATGAATTCTCATTTATTATTTTGTTTGATTTGATTTCAAGGTTATGCTACCCTTATAGAATGAGCTGTTTGTTCCCATTGTTCTTTATCTGGAAGCATTTGTATAAGTTTGGGATAATCTGTTTCTTAACTTTTTTGGTAGCAATCTCCTGTAAAATCACTGGGGTGTGGTCATTTGTGTGGCAGATTTCATTTTGTTAATGGTCATAAGTCTATGCATAGTTGAGTTCCATTTTGTTAATTATTTCTTCTAGGAAACTGTCATTTATCTATTTCCTAATTCATCAGCATAAAATTATTCATAATATTCTCTTATTTTTCAAGCCACGGCTATGTCTGCTATGTCTTTTTTTCATAATATTGTTTGTGTCTTTCTCTTTGTTCTTAATCTGTCAAAGGTTTTATTATTATTTATTTTTTTATTTTTTGAGATGGAGTCTCACTCTGTCACCCAGGCGGGAGTGCAATGGCACAATCTCGGCTCACTGCAACCTCTGTCTCCTGGGTTCAAGTGATTCTACTGTCTCAGCCTCCCAAGTAGCTGGGATTACAGGCGCCCGCCACCACGTCCAGCTAATTTTTGTATTTTTAGTAGAGACGGGGTTTCACCATGTTGGCCAGGCTGGTCTGGAACTCCTGACCTCAGGTGATCCACCCACCTCGGCCTCCCAAAGTGCTGGGCCTACAGGTGTGAGCCACCACACCTGGCCTGTCAAAGGTTTTACATATTGTTATTTCAGAGAACCAGCTTTTGGTTTTATGAATCCTCTCTTCTGTATTTTGTATTCTATTTTGTCAATTTCTGCTCTTTAGCATTTTTTCTTCACATTTTTCCTTGTCTGCTGAGTTGTTGTTCCTTTATTAACTTCTTGATGAAATGCTGAGCTACTTATTTTCCAGTCTTCTTCTCTAATATAACCAGTTAAGCTTATATATTCTCCTTTAGCTTCTGTTAAAACTCCATCAGTTTCGGGCCAGGCTCTGTGGCTCACCCTGTAATCCCAGCACTTTGGGAGGCTGAGACAGGTGGATCACTTGATGTCAGGAGTTCAAGACCAGCCTGACCAACATGGTGAAACCTTGTCTCTACTAAAAATACAAAAATTAGCTGGGCATGGTGGCCTGCTCCTGTAATCCCAGCTACTTGGGAGGCTGAGGCAGGAGAATCGCTTGAACCCAGGAGGCAGAGGCTGCAGTGAGCCAAGATCCTGCCACTGCACTCCAGCCTGGGCGACAGAGAGAGACCCTGTCTCAAAAAACAAAACAAGATGAAACAAAAAAGACCCAAACAAACCAAAAAGCTCCTCAAGTTTTGGAATGTATTTCCATGACCATTCCATTTTACATTTGTGTCCATCAATTTCCTCTTTTCCATCCTGCTCTCTGCCCCGGGGCTGCCTGTGGGAACTACAAGGGGCTTCTTGCTGTGCCCTCTGTCTTCCATTTGGGTTCAGCCATTGGGGATTCCTGGCAGGAGACAGAAGAGGAGATCGAGGTCAGGGTATCTATGTCCCTGAGCTCCTCTCTGAGATTGCCTCAAGCTGCTTATTTATGTCCCTTGACAGAAGGTCATTGCTTCTTGCATGGTGGTTTGCTCTGCAAAAAAATCTCACTTGGGATTTCTCTAACTTCTCTCTGTTCTCATCTCTTTGGACGTATGGGTTGTGACAGTTCTACTGTTACTAGTATGAGATCCTCCACTGTTCCTTGTGATTTCCACATATCTTACCCAGGCTGGAGTGCAGTGGTGTCATCATGGCTCACTGCAGCCTCGACCACCTGGGCCCAAGTGATCCTCCCGCCTCAGCCTCCAGAGTAGGTGGGACTACAAGCTTGCACCACCGCACCTGGCTAATTAAACTTTTTTTTTCTTTTTTCAGAGATAGGGTCTCCCTATGTTGCCTAGGCTGGTCTCAAGCTCCTGGGCTCAAGTGATCCTCCTGTCTTGGCCTCCCAAAGTGCTGGGATTACAGGCATGAGCCACGACACCCATCCTTCATATTCATATTCTTTTTTTTTTTTTTTTTTTTTTTTTTTGAGACGGAGTCTCACTCTGTTGCCCAGGCTGGAGTGCAGTAGCTCATTCTTGGCTCACTGCAAACTTCACCTCCCGGGCTCAAGCGATTCTCCTGCTTCAGCCACACGAGTAGCTGGGATTACAGGCACGCACCATCACGCCCAGCTAATTTTGTATTTTTAGTAAAGATGGTGTTTCACCATGTTGGTCAGGCGGGTTTGGAGCTCCTGACCTCAGGTGATCCCCAGCCTCGGCCTCCCAAAGTGCTGGGATTACAGGTGTGAGCCACCGCAACTGGTCAGTCCTTCATATTCTTTAATAATCCAAAAAAGCTTTTCAAGGTTGTATTATTCATTACTTCTTTATTTATTTTTCCCAGTTCCCTGGTTATCCATGGAAACTGTCTCATTTTCTTCCCTTCTTTCCCCCCCTCCCCCCGACCATGGAATCTTTTTGGCCACCTGTCTAATTTTCTTTTATCTTATTTTTTAATTTCTAAAAAAATGCCTTCTGGAGTTGTGGATGCCACAGACTTTATCACCTTTTCCTGCACTGTTAATCAAAATCATATCATTAAATCTGAATTATAAGATTTTGGAAATAAACCTGATAAACCTGCAGAGCTCATTACTGGCCTCTCCATCTGATGGAGGTACAGTAATCACTGTGTTTAGTTTTTGTAGTTAATGGTGTTATACCATTTTACGTGGAGCTTGATTTTGCATGGCTGGCTAGTGACTCAGCCTTTAGGATGAAGGGAGACAGAGGTAACACTTTCTTGATTTGGCTTTCTTCCCTTGCCTGTTTTTGCACCTCTGCATCAAATGTGAAGGAATCAGCTGCCGAAATTTATGACTGATCCCTGCCCTTCCTCAGCCCATCTAGAGAACTGCAGCAACCTGGAAGGCAGTGCCAGGACCAATCTGTCATTTAACTTAAAATACATTTTTTTTTTTGAGACGGAGTCTTGCTCTGTCACCCAGGCTGGAGCACAGTGGCATGATCTCGGCTCACTGCAACCTCTGCCTCCCGGGTTCAAGTGATTCTCCTGCCTCAGCCTCCCAAGTAGCTGGGATTACAGGTGCCCGCGCCACCACAGCAGCTAATTTTTGTATTTTTAGTAGAGATGGGGTTTCGCCATGTTGACCAGGCTGGTCTGGAACTCCTGACCTCGGGCGATCCGCCCGCCTCGGCCTCCCAAAGTGCTGGGATTACTGGAGTCTGCTTTCTTTTACATCAATCATATCTTCTTGAAACTACAGCCCGACTGGGTGTGGTGGCTCACGCCTGTAATCCCAACACTTTGGGAGGCCGAGGCGGGTGGATCACTTGAGGTCAGTAGTTTGAGACTAGCCTGCTCAACATGGTGAAACCTCGTCTCTATTAAAAATACAAAAATTAGCCAGGCGTGGTGGCGTGTGCCTGTAATCCCAGCTACTTGGGAGGCTGAGGCAGGAGAATCGCTTGAACCCGGGAGGCGGAGCTTTCAGTAAACTGAGATTGCACCACTGCACTCCAGCCTGGGCGACAGAGCGAGACTCCCTGTCAAACAAAACAAAACAAAAAACTATACCCCTTGATTTGACATGGCTCTTTCTTAATTCTCCCCAATAGCATGTTTACTCTTAGGATGTGTCAATTCTTCAGACAGCTCATCCCATCTTTTATTGGGCCATTTTCCTATGAAGATGCAAAATATGTGGGTGGAGGTTGGAAGGTGGGAGGCTAAAACAAACGGAATCACTTGGAATCTCTTTTAACTTTATGGGCAAGGTGGGGGATTATTGGATTTGAGCGCACCCCACTCATGTAACTGTTTTGCAAAATACTTAAAATTATTCAAGGAACACACGAATATCTTTTTTTTTTTTTTTTTTTTGAGATGGATTCTTGATATATTTCCCAGTCTGGTCTCGAACTCCTTGCCTCAAGCGATTCTCCCACCTCGGCCTTCCAAAGTGCTGGGATTACAGTCATGAGCCACCGCGCCCGGCCAATAATGTTTGTTTAAAAATAAAAAGATAAATAAGAAACTCGAAGTAAGGTCCGCTTTGACCATCGTCCCGATCGTTCTCTTCTCTGGAGGTAACCGTTACCAGCGTTTTGAGCACACTTTTCCAGTCTCCTTTCTATATGTTTTCTTTCCTCTACTGCATATACAGAGTTTCTTTTTATACAAATGACGCCTCTTGGGGTCTCATTAAGACCCTAACGGGAGACGTGATGGCCAATTTATTTAAGGAAAGCAGACTAAACAATCGTTTATGAAAACCTACTGGGTGGCAACCCCGCGCTAAGTGCTTTCTTTGGCATGAAGGGTTCTGGTATTTCACTCGTCGCAATCGGTTAGCTAAGCCATTAGTTTAGAGGCTGGGGGGCGAGTACGGGGAGAGTCGCTTCAAAGCGAGGAGGTAGGGTTTGCATTTTGATGGGACCTGCAGGAAACCTAATAGAGTGCGGTACAACCGCAAAACAGAAAAATGCTGTCATCGGCAGTTGGCTCTGTCAATAAAGCTTGCGAAGCTGAAATGCGAAGAACTATCTGCCGAGACCGAAGCTTCCTTCGGAATCTAGGAATCGACACCGCGCCTGCGAGGCTAGCCTTGGAGCCCGGAGAGGAAGGCACCAGCAATGGCAAAAAGGATGCACTGAGCAGGCAGCAACCGAGCAGCCAACCCGAGAGCTGGGAGCGCGCGGGCCCGGTCGGAAAATGCGCCTGCGCAGACCGCTGGGGACGGGAGGGGCGGGGCTCGAGGGGCGGTCAATGCGCCTGCGCACACCGCACGGCGAAGTGGGGGAGGGCAGTCCGTGTGTGTCTGTGTTGTTGTTCGGCGGCGGCGGCGGCGGTAAGATGGCTGCCCACGGGGGCTCCGCGGCGTCCTCGGCGCTGAAGGGGTTAATTCAACAGTTCACCACCATTACCGGTAAGAGACGCGGTTACCGGAAGGTGGAGAGTGGGGTCCGGAGCGGGCAGCGGGTCTGCCCCGGGCTTCCCCTTACCTTCAGGCATTCCTCCTTCGGGCTTTACCCACAGCTGCCGTCCTCCCTCCTGAGGAAGAGGCGACGACGGCGTCGGGGTCTCCGGGTTCAGGCGGGAGACAGCCCCCCCCCGCTCCCGATACCCTCGTTCTCTGTCTCCTAGTAGCGTGGAGGGAGATCCCCCAACCCCCCGCCAGCCCAGACCTGGGAATGGGCCGAGTCCGTCCGCCCCCGCCGGCCCGGGGACCCGGGGGCGGGAGGAGTAGGGGGCCGCACCCGGGCCACCGCCCTCCTCCTCCTCCTTCATCATCTTCCCTTCTCTGTGCAGCCCTGCGGTGCGGTGCATCTCCTCACCTCCTTTTTTCCTTTCTTCCCCGGCCAGGTCATTCTGCCCCGGTCCCCGGCCTGCCCTTCCCCTTTCTGGGCCCCTCGGAGCCATCGCCGTGGCCCTGGCGGGTTCGGGCCCTCCCGCCTTCACGGCAAGGCCGGTGGGTTCGGCCGTGCCTTTACACTTCACGGGGGACAGGCCGCCAGAAGCGGGGGGTGCTGAGGAGGACCTCAGGGACTGAGGCTTTGAGGGAAGAATGAGGGGGAACCCCCAAGCTGAATAGGGGAGGCCTGGAAGAATCCAGGGTGGCGTTTCCCACCTCCCCATAATAAAATCATAAAGACGGAGACGATGGCGCCGGGGCCTCCTGCTGATAAGATAGGGATGGCGGCAGAAACTTCTTTGAGAGAAAATCTGTTTCTGGGTGTCGGTATCCCCGAAACCCTAGGCCTAGGTTCTCTCCCTTTGGACCCCTGCGAAGGACACACGCAGATCCTCTTACCGCCTGGAGGAAAGGCCCTAAAGCCATTCTATGAATTCTCTCTGTCTTGTTTCTCTCTGATGGTGCTGAACTTTTCTTGCATGAGTTATTAGAGGGCGGAGCAAATGATGAAGTTCTCTGTGGAGTGATTTGAGAGAAGAGTACTCCAATGTGCCTGAGTGTAATTTTGCCGTTCTAGTTTGTCGTTTTGGAAGGAGGTCAGAATGTTAGTTCCCTCTCAACGGATCTATACTTTATCTCGTAATTTGTTAGATGCGGAGAATGTTTCCACTGTTAATGTTCCTAGAGTTTAACGTGCAATATCTGGTTAAGTAAAATTTTATATTGTTTTAACTACTACAGGTTGTATACTAGTTACCGTTTTATATTAAAGCAAGTTTTATTTTTTTGCTTTGCAATGATAACGAGATATTTGACGCATTGTTATCTAGCTTGTGGGCATGGAACATCAGGTCAAAGTAAAGTAAAATTTGCAATAAAATTGGGGTGAGGAGTTGCATGATAACTTCTCTTAATATTTTTGAACTTTGTGATTGGATTATTGAAGATATAAAGGATTGGATTATTATATTAAATATGTAAAGGATTTCCTAATGTCTGACAAATCATTGCTATGGAGAAGATTATTGTGTATATAAGTTAGTGTTGCTGCATTATGCTTATATAGAAAAATCTTTGCAGTGAATCTGATAGAGAAGTGAATATCATTATTAATCCTTTAGATTTCCTAGAGATGGTTTATGATGCCACTTGGGCCTGGCGCGGTGTCTCACGCCTGTAATCCTAGCAGTTTGGGAGACGGAGGCTGGAGATTCACATGGGGCGAGGAGTTGCAGACCAGCCTGGGCAAAACATAGTGAGGCCCCATCTCTACAGAAATAAGAAAATGAGCTGGATGTAGTGGCACCGACATGTAGTCCCAGCTACTGGGGAGGCTGAGGTGGGAGGATTGCTTGAGCCTAGGAGTTCAAGGCTGCGGTGAGTAGATCATACCACTGCGCTCCATCCCTGGCAACAGAGCAAGATCATTTCTCAAAAAGAAAAAAAAAGCCACTTATTATTATTATTATTATTATTATTTTGAGACAGTCTCGCTGTGTTGCCCAGGTTGGAGTGCAGATCTCCCAGGCACGATCTTGGCTCACTGCAACCTCCACCTCCCGGGTTCAAGCGATTCTCCTGTCTCAGCCTCCCGAGTAGCTGGGACTACAAGCGCCTGTCACCAGGCCCGGCTAATTTTTGTATTTTTAGTAGAGGCGGGGTTTCATCATGTTGGCCTGGCTGGTCTTGAACTCCTGTCCTCAAATGATCCACTCACCTCAGCCTCCCAAAGTGCTAGGATTACAGGCGTGAGCCACCGCGCCTGGCCCTAAAAGCCACTTAATTAATTTTCAGTTTCTTATGCTAATTACTACTCTTCCCAAACTCTGATTGGTTTAACGCCACATTACTTCTTCTGTTGCAACATTTTTATTAGGTACACACAAAAACCGAAGTGTGGTGAGTTGAATTGACTCACTTAATTGCTTTAATTCTGTTTCTGTTCGTCTACGTAGCTTGATTGCTGGATCAAGTTGGAGTCCCTCAATCAGTAGACAGTGGTATCTGGAGATCTACAGAGCGAAAATACCTTTGAGTGTTCTTCAAATATTGTGAATTTCTATTGATAATTTTTGGGATTCTTTTTACAAGATAGTGATTAACCGTTAGAAACACATGATTGATTTCTTTTTGCCTTTTTTACATGTCTTAAAATTTTTTTGGGGTTCTCTCCACATACGTTTTAATCGTAGTGTTTATAATTAAAAGGTATTTTATATTTATTTTAGTGACCTTAATAGCTTATGCTCTGATTTCACAAAGGTTTTACTTGGAAGCTCAATATTCTTGTAAAAACAAATGCATCATCAAAAATGTGAGTCCTTACTTTTTAGGCAGGAGCAAAAAAAAGAAAAAGAAAAAATAAAAATAAATGTGAGTCTTATCTTTTTTTGGCATTTAGAAATAGAACGGAAAATTGAAAGATTTTAGAAAAGTCTTATTTCTTACTGAATAGAACAGATCTCTCTCTGATTCAGTGAGTATGAAATAATGACTGATGTTTTTTTTTTTTTTGAGACGGAGTCTCGCTCTGTCACCCAGGCTGGAGTGCAGTGGCGTGATGTTGGCTCACTGCAAGCTCTGCCTCCCAGGTTCACACCATTCTCGTGCCTCAGCCTCCCAAGTAGCTGGGACCACAGGCGCCTGCCACCACGCCTGGCTAATTTTTTGTATTTTTAGTAGAGACGGGGTTTCACCGTGTTATCTGGGATGGTCTCGATCTCCTGACCTCGTGATCCGCCTGCCTCGGCCTCCCAAAGTGCTGGGATTACACGTGTGAGCCACCGCGCCTGGCCTAATGACGGATTTTTGATTTTTTTTTTTTTTTTTTAAGAGATGGAGGTCTCCTCTCTTTGTTGCCCAAGCTGTTCTCCAGTTTCTGGGCTCAGCCATCCTCTTGCCTCAGCCCTCCCAGTAACTGGGGCTACAGGTGCACATCACTGTGCCTGGTTCAGTAATGGCTGATTAAAAAAGATTATTAAAAAGACAATATCATAAAAACTTTTTTTTTTTTTTTTGAGACGGACTGGGTCTCACACTGCCACCCAGACTAGAGTGCAGTGGTGTGATCACGGCTCACTGCAGCCTCTAGGGTAACTTTCTTTATTTTTTGTGGAGATGGGGTCTCACTTTGTTGTGCAGGCTGGTCTTGAACTCCTGGGCTCAAGCAATCCACCCACCTTGGCCTCCCAAAGTGCTGGGATTACAGGCGTGGGACACTGCACCTGGCCGAAATAATTTTGATAAAAGGGAAAAGAACTAATTCTCCTTCTCACAACAGCAATATTTATTTTACATATTATCTTCCACTTCTTGTTTATATGCTTATTTTTACATTGTGGATCATAGTATATACAATTTCTGAGATTTCTTTTTCTTTTTTTTTTTTTAAAGACGGTCTTGTTCTGTCACCCAGGCTGGAGTACAGTGGCACAATTATAGCTTGCTGCATCCTTACCGCCTGGGCTCAAGTGATTCTCCTGCCTCAGCCTCCAGAGCAGTTAAGACTACAGGCATGTGCCACCATGCCCAGCTAAAATACACGGTTCTGAAATTTTCACTTAACATTATGCTACAAACCTTTTTTGCATGGTCAGACTGATAAGCAGGTAGCCAAGAGAAGTGATGACCTTTGAAGTAACCACACTGAGAAGCTGTATACAGTATGGTTTACCATTGATGCTTGCTTTTTGTTTGTTTTTGTTTTTGTTTTTGTTTTCGACAGAATTTCACTCCGTCACCCAGGCTGGAGTGCAGTGGCATGATTTCGGCTCACTGCTGTCTCCGCCTCCTGGGTTCAAGCAGTTCTCCTGCTTCAGCCTCCGCAGTAGCTGGGATTACAGGCTCAAGCCACCATGCCCGTCTGATTTTTGTATTTTTAGTAGAGATGGAGTTTCACCATGTTGGGCAAGCTGGTCTCAAACTGACCTCAAGTGATCTGCCCTCCTCAGCCTCCCAAAGTGCTGGTATTATGGGCGTGAGCCACTGCAACCGGCCCCACTGATGCTTTCTGTGTCATTTAAAGCTACATAAGAAAACCAGTCTTGTTACTTTTATAGTCATTCCACATTTTACAATACTACTGTTTGATCTCCTCTGATATTTATCATACATGGCTTTGAATTACTGTTGAAAACTCAGAAGTCATATCAATTCTCAAAACATGAAGGAAAAATATGCAGCTGGATCTATTCTGAAAGAGCAATTTTTAAAAATGTTTTGAAGCCAGGTGCGGTGGCTCACGCCTGTAATCCCAGGCACTTTGGGAGGCCAAGGCGGGTGGATCACCGGAGGTCAGGAGCTTCAGACCAGTCTGGCCAACCTGGTGAAACCCTGTCTCTCCGAAAAATACAAAAATTAGCTGAGCATGGTGGTGCACGCCTGTAGTCCCAGCTACCCAGGAGGCTGAGGCAGGAGAATCTCGTGAACCCAGGAGACGGAGGTTGCAGTGAGCCGAGATCCAGCCACTGCACTCCAGCCTGGGCGACAGAGCGAGACTCTGTCTCCAATTTTAGTATATGTGCTGCTGAAGCGAGCACAGAGCGAGACCCTGTCTCAAAAAAAGAAAAAGTAAATAAAAGTAAAAATGTTTTGAGCCATGGCAGTATTCCATTAGCACCAACTTTGGGCTGACATCCACTACACATATACACTGGTGCACATGTGTAATCAGAATAATTCATGGAGTGAAGGTGAGGGATACATAGACACTATAGAACAGGTGAAAAATAAGCTAGCAGTCTAAGGACAAATGTGAGGGCATAGAAAGTGGAGGCTAAGAAGAGTACAAGAGGTTACTGGTACGGAAATTCATAGAGCTTTGTGCATAGCGGCAATAACATACTTGAGAAAATTATAGAACCTCAGTTGTAGAAGAGACCTTAATCTTTCAGATGGTTGATGAGTGCATATTTATTATAAAAATTAGGGGCTGTCATGTTTGTGGTATTTAACTTTATGGCCAATTTCCATTCATGTTCTTTTTTTTTTTTTTGAGACAGAGTCTCACTCTGTGGCCCAGGCTGGAGTGCAAAGGTACGATCTTGGCTCACTGCAGCCTCCACCTCCCGGGTTCAAGCGATTCTCCTGTCTCAGCCTCCTGAGTAGCTGGGATTACAGGCATGCGCCACCACGCCCGGCTCATTTTGTATTTTTAGTAGAGACGGGGTTTCTCCATTTTGGTCAGGCTGGTCTCGAACTCCCGACCTCAGGTGATCCTCCTGCTTCGACCTCCCAAAGTGCTGGGATTACCGGTGTGAACCACCGCGCCTGGCCTCATTCATATGCTTTTGTACAGAACATTTCCTTTCTCTTGGGTTAATATTAAACTATGATTAAGTTCTCTGTGTCTGGAAAGGTGGTCACAGTATTATAGATGTTAAGAGAAAACTTCAGGAATTTTAAGAATAGTTTCAATAGGGAATACATTTCAGAATTTCTTTTTTTTTTTTTTTTTGAGACGAAGTCTTATCCTGTCACCCAGGCTGGAGTGCAGTGCTGTGATCTTGGCTCATTGCAACCTCCGCCTCCCCGGTTCAAGTGATTCTCCTGCCTCAGCCTCCTGAGCAGCTGGGACCACAGATGCGCGTCACGACACCCAGCTAAATTTTTTGTATTTTTAATGGAGATGGGGTTTCATCTTGTTGGCGAGGCTGGTCTCAAACTCTTGACCTCAGGTGATCCACCCACCTCAGCCTCCCAAAGCGCTGGGATTACAGGCTTGAGCCACCATGCCTGGCTGAAGTTTCAGAAATTTAAGGGAGGTAATTTTGAGTTGCGAATGGAATCTTACTAGTAGATTCATTTATTGGTAGACTGCTACGTGCCAGGCATGGTTCACATCTTAAGGATACAACTGTGAGCAAGGCGTGGTGTCTGTCCTCAGAAAGCTTAAAGGTTAACAGGAATAGAGACACACGAATAGGTATTAGAATACAGTGAGAGAATGGTAAGGAGCTAATACTGGAGCACAAAAGAGGGAGGTCAAGAAAACCTTCCCAGAATAAATACTTTTTTATCTAAAATCTGGAAGATGTTTCTTGCAGGAGAAACATGCAGAGACTTGGAGGGGAATTGGGCAGACATGTATACAGACAGAGATGAGAGAGGGGAGACAATCGGTTTAGGGAATTGATAATTCCAAATGAGTAAAGCACAGCTAGTGCAATAAATGGACCTCAAGAGATAAATGGGAGATTGGGTTGGGCCTTATAAGCCATGTTAAAAAAAATCTTGTCTTTATTCTGAGAATAGTGGGGAGTCAAGGG
This sequence comes from Homo sapiens, assembly GCF_000001405.40. Taxonomy (NCBI): domain Eukaryota; kingdom Metazoa; phylum Chordata; class Mammalia; order Primates; family Hominidae; genus Homo; species Homo sapiens. Next base: position 196,425,574 of record NC_000003.12, on the reverse strand, counting down.
TTTTAATTAGAGGAGTGAGACTGGGCACTGTGGCTCACACCTATAATTCCCGCACTTTGGGAGGCTGAGGTGGGAGGCCTGGAGCTTGAGATCAGCCTAGGCAACATAGTGAGACCCCATCTCTACAAAATGTATTAAAATTTTATTTATTAAAAAAGGAGTTACATCTGATTTGACCTTTTTTTTTTTTTTAAAGAAAGAGTTACTTGGCTATAATGGAGAAGAGATAGGCACAGAGATCAGTAGAAGGCTGTTATATTAACCCAAGAAAGATAGTGGTGTCCTGAAAAAAGTTAGTGGCGGAGAAGTGGACTCCAAAAGGTATGGGAAGAAATCAGAGTCAAAATGAAGTTTAGGATTCTGTTTTGGACACCTAGGTATGTAACAGTGCTATTTATGAAGGTATGGAATAGCAGAAAGGTGTGGGGAGAAGATGGTTAGCTCAGTTTTGGATAAGTTAAGGTGCTGCTAATAGGACTTCCAGATGGAGCTGTTGAAGCAGATGAATATTTGGGTCTAGAAAGAAGAGTGAGAAATCTGTCATATTCATGGCAGTTAAAGTTATAAAAATGGGGCTAGGTGCGGTGGTTCACACCTGGAATCCCAGCACTTTGGGAGGCCGAGGCGAGTGGATCACCTGAGGTCAGGAGTTTGAGACCAGCCTGACCAACATGGTGAAACCCCGTCTCTACTAAAAATACAAAACTAGCCGGGCATGGTGGTGTGTGCCTGTAATCCCAGCTACTCAGGAGGCTGAGGCAGGAGAATTGCTTGAACCTGGAAGGCGGAGGTTGCAGTGAGCTGAGATCACGCCATTGCACTCCAGCCTGGGCGACAGCGAGACTCTGTCTCAAAAAAAAAAAAAAAAAAAGGTTATAAAAATGGATGAGGCGAGGCCTAGTGGCTCACACCGGTAATCCCAGCACTTTGGAATGCCAAGGTGGAAGGATTGCTTGAGGCCAGAAATTCAAGACCAGCTTGGGCAACATAGCAAAGAGCCTGTTTCTACAAAAAGTAAAAAAAAATTAACTGGGCCTGGTGGTGTGCACCTGTAATCCTGGTTGACTTGGGAAGATTGCTTGAACCCAGAACTTTGAGGCTGCAGTGAACTATGCTCCTGCTGCTATACTCCAGCCTGGGTGACAGAGAGAGACCTTGTCTCTTAAAAAAAAAAAAAAAAAAAAAAAAAAATTAGGAAAAGAGAAAGGATGGCATCTTGCAGGAGGGAGTGTAGTGTGGGAAATAGTAGACTCCAGGACACAATGCTGAAGGAACACCAACATCCGGGGGACTGCAAAGAAGAAAGTGCAGAGAAGACTCAGGAAAAACCAAAGATGTAGGAGGAAAACCAGGAGAGTATCATGGCACTTAAAGCATCAGGAGTGGCCACGTGTGGTGGCTCATGCCTGTAATCCCAGCACTTTGGGAGGTTGAGGCAGGTGGATCACATGAGATCAGGAGTTTGAGACCAGCCTGGCCAATATGGTGAAACCCTGTCTCCACTAAAAATACAAAAAATGAGCCGGGCATGGTGGTGGGCACCTGTAATCCCAGCTACTCGGGAGGCTGAGGCAGGTGAATCGCTGGAACCCGGGAGTCAGAGGTTGCAGAGAGCCAAGATCTTGCCACTGCACTCCAGCCTGGGCAAGAGAGTGTGACTCTGTCTCAAAAAAAAAAAAAAAAAAAGTGAAAAATTATTTTGTAAATGGAATAATTAGTCTCTAATTAGTCCTTTGTTTAGCTAACACAATTAGCTTCAAGATGGCTCTCTTCTGTCCCTGTGGTGCTTCAGAATCTTAGAGTTGATAAAATTCACATCCATGCAGGACTTTAAGTGCCCCAAGGTACTTTGGGTTTATCCACTCACCTTGTCAAGTGGATAAGTCAGATGGGGGTTGGAGGCCAGGCAGATAAGCAACTTGTCTCCAAGACTGGGATTGTCCTGCTATGCCCCACCTTATGCTCCCTGAGGCTCTGAGCTGAGTTTCAGGCCTCTGCCATGTCCCCAC